>NC_000010.11:84537034-84688549 GCF_000001405.40 Homo sapiens | reverse complement strand
TTTATTCACCGGCCATCAACACTGCACTTACAATGTGGCCTTTGAAGAGGCCATCAGTCTCCCTGGAATCCTCTCAGTGCAAGGAGCTATCAGGTTTTGTAGCAGCGTCCAGAGCAGGCAGGGGAGACACACCAGACACAACTTCAGTCCTTTGCATTTTCCTCCTAACCAATTCCTCGGGCATTTGAAGATGTCGGAGTAAGAGCAGTGTCTTCCTTGGGTGGCCTGCAGGCCACTCTTACTGCACATCCCAAGCAGAATTCATTATCCTCATCATGGACACCTGCCCAGGCTCCTGTACCTATAATCTAAGCACCATCCCTTCTACCTGGAAGCCCAGCCAGAAATTCTGGAGTGGTTTTTACATTCTCCCTCTCTCCTTACCTGCTGACATTTAATCTGTCACTAATTCCTGTCCAGACTGCATCAGCAATGCTGAGTGAGTAATCCCCACACTCGCCGGTGGTCCAGGGTGTCATCATCTCCCTGCAGGGCTCTTGCTGAGACTTCATGCCCAGGCTGCCTCCTCCAGGTCCTGCCCTTTCATGCGACTGCCAGCGGAACCCAGTGCCATCACTTCCCCACAGACCGCTGCCTACCCTGGTGCCTATGAGATGAAGTCTCAACTCTTTAGCCCTATACACATGACCCTTGACATACGATCTGGCCACAACCCTCTTCACCACCTCATCTCCCAATACTTCCACCCTGGGCCTTCATACTATTTGTCAGATAAACCTGGTTTCTAATCCTTGCTTTTACATACAGCTGCTTATTATCTCTGTCTGAAAATATGTCTTTTTTTTGACAGAGTTTCGCTCTTTGTTGTGCAGGCTAAAGTGCAATGGTGCGATCCCAACTCACTGCAACCTCCACCTCCCAGGTTCAAGCGATTCTCCTGCCTCAGCCTCCTGGGCAGCTGGGATTACAAGGTGCCCACCACCATGCCTGGCTAATTTTTTGTATTTTTAGTAGAGATAGGGTTTCACCATGTTGATCAGGCTGGTCTCGAACTCCTGACCTCAGGTGATCTACCTGCCTTGACTTCCCAAAATGCTGGGATTACAGGCATGAGCCACCACAGCTGGCTGAAAATATGTCTTAATTCTCTTTTACCTTGTACATGCCTGCATGGTTGCAGATCTAAATTAAATGTCATCACTTTTTGTTTTACCATTGTTATTATAATTATATTCAGAATTTTTTTTTTTGAGATGGGTGCTTATTATGTTGCACAGTCTAGTCTTGAACTCCTGGGCTCAAGCAATCCTCCCACTTCTGCCTCCCAAGTAGCTGGAACTACAGACATGTGCCACTGCACCTGGCTGTATTCAGAATTATTGAGCACGTACTGTGAGCCTATGTACCAAGTGCTGTGTGTCACCTCATTTAAGATCACAGCAATCTTGTGCGTTATGCACATGAAGAGCTGAGCTGAGACTTGGAGAGGTGAACTTGCTCATTTCACACAGATGGAATTTCAAAGACAGTTCCTAGAGCTGGTGCTCATAACCCCTGTGGGCCCCCAGAGATAGATTTAGGGAGCCCCTTCTAGGCTCTGTGCCATAAAACTCCACTCCATGCCCTCTGTCCACACTTCTGCTATGGCACCATGCATGGGGTAGGATGTACCTGTTTAATCTTGTTTGAATCCTGATCTTTAAAAACCAACTGCTCAAAAAGACACATATTTGTAGGACAACCAAGAAAAATTTGAACTCTCACTAGATATTTGATGATACTGAGGAATTATTAATTATTGGTACTGCGATTATTTTTTAAAGCTGTGATCATATAGAGGTACACTAGACTATTTAGAGATGAAATTATATGAAGTCAAGAGATGCTTGAAGGAACAATATGAGGAGATGGATAGGAAATAACTTTTGGCATTATGCTGATATCTATTTTAAATGGGTGGCACATTTATGGAGGTTCATTCTCTCTCTTTTTTTTTAAGCAATGGGATCTCACTCTGTTGCCCAGGCTGGAGTGCAGTGGTGCAATCATGGCTCACTGCAGCCTGGACCTCCCAGGATCAAATGATCTCCCCACCTCAGCCTCCAGGGTAGCTGTGTCTATAGATGTGCACCACCATGCCCAGCTTCTTCTTTTTTTTTTTTTTTTTTTTTTTTTTGGAGAGACAGGGTTTCACTATGTTGCTGACGGTGGTCTTGAACTCTTAGACTCTAGTCTCAAGCAATCTGCCCACCTCGGCCTCTCAAAGTGCTAGGATTACAGGCATAAGCCACCATGTCCAGGCTCATTTCGCTATTTGGCCTACTTCTATATGTGTTAGAAATTCTCTGTAATGGAAGTATTCTATGGACCCCCTCAAACAAAGGGATTTAAGGGTTTATCCTCCTGTTTTTTGGTTGTTGGAGAGCAGAGTACATTTGTGTCTCAGTCAGCTTTGAATCTGTACCACCAGCACGGTAACTGGCATGAAGTAGAAAGTCAGTGTTTCTTGAATGACGAGGTGGTTACTATGAAGGTCCCTTCCAAAGGTGGGGAATGATGCATTATGCACATGAAGAGCTGAGCTGAGACTTGGAGAGGTGAACTTGCTCATTTCACACATACGGAATTTCAAAGACGGTTCCTAGAGCTGGTGCTCATAACCCCTGTGGGCCCCCAGAGATAGATTTAAGGAGCCCCTTCTAGGCTCTGTGCCATAAAACTCCACTCCATGCCCTCTGTCCACACTTATGCTACGGCACCATGCATGGGGTAGGATGTACCTGTTTAATCTTGTTTGAATCCTGATCTTTAAAAACCAACTGCTCTACTGCAGCCACTGGCACAATGGATGAGCCCTCAGGGAGAGCTGAGGCCAGCTGCTGAAGGTGTACATGCTGTTCCATCCCAGCTTCCTTGCTTCTAAGCTATTTCAATCTGGCTCGCCTTGGGTTCCTGTGTCAGAGCCCTCTTCCTTTGGATACTGAGCCAGCTGCTTCTTGACTCAGTGGCTTGGATTTCTCTACATGCTCTTTTTGCTTTTGTGAGGTAGCCCTCAGGTTCCAGTCAGGCTCAGCTAACACCACAGTTTAACAAGGAAGGGATTAGGCCTTACCCTTTAAAATGTGACTGCTGGCCTCATGCCTGTGGCTTGGTTTGACAGCTGGACCTATTCTGGATGAGAGTAATTTGAAGCTGGGTGTGTTTTTACAGTGACACAAATTTATGAGCAAAAGGCAGAGACTGAGTTTCAGAGAAGAATAGGTTCATTCAGCACATCCAGCCCCCACTTTCACCTCCCACTGCAGGTCCTTTGTCAGAGGGCCAGAGCCCACTTCTCTGGTGCATGGAAACTCCCAAGGCTCACATCTGAGGTTAACCTGAGGAATTCAAGGCAGCCTTGATGTTTCTCCAGCAGTGAAGGGGGGGTCAGGCTTTTGCTGCACTCAAGTCTCCATGCTCCCTGGTCACCCACAACCACCCTGCAGAGCAAGGCAAGGCCCTCCCTGCTCAGGGGGGAAGTGGTGGAGAGCAGCGACAGGCCGGCTGGCTGGGGTCAGAGAGCATGGCACTCCTCCAACCCATCAGACTCTGAGGGGTATAACGTTTGATCAAGATTCACAACAGTCTCCAAAGCAGGAGGAGACAGCCTCAATGGGGAGGAGAAAGTGGGAAGCTGAAAAGCACCCAAATCAGGAAAGAAACCCAAGCAAGTGAGGCATTCTCAGGGGCTCCTGTTGGGGTGATCAGACCCAACACCAGGTCGTGGGGGGTGAGGAAGTCTGGCGGAGTCAAAGGATTGAGGAAAAGTTTGAGAAGTAAAGTGGGACCAGGGGGCCATCGTGATTATGGAGGCTACGAAGGCCCTGAGCTCTGGGAGCCCAAGCTATTTATTGGTAATCCAACAGAGAAACAGGTGGTGAGAATGTGGAGGTCAAAAGGGCAGGTGCATGATCCACAGCTGTGACGGTTTAGCATTTATAAGGAACATGTTCTTCTACTTGAGATAATGGGAACACAATTGATCTAGGAGCCTAGGAAGGCTAGAAGCAAGGAGCCAGCAGGTCTAGACACATTCCACAGGACATTATGTCAGACATGCAAGCCCTGCATCAGCTTTCTTCCCAACACTCAGCTTTTTCCCGACAGGCTCCCCACAGTCTGAGGCTTCATCCTTGATGCCGGACAAAGAACACATGCTCTAGTTGTATCATATTCAAACCTCCCTCTGAGAGAGACAGCAGCAGCTCAGAAGTAGCAAAAGTGATGGCATGAGCAGGAGAGGGTGTTCTAGAGAGAACCAGCTACATGGTAGTACAGACGTGGTAGAGGCTGTGAGGCACCACCAAAAACCCTCCGGAATGAAGGACTTACTCCTCCAACTGCTGGGAATGTTGCAGCCCAACTTCCTCAGCTGTCAGCCTCTTCAGGGAGTGATTCCCCTGAAGAAAGCCTCCTTGCTCAGGACATGCCCCCTTTGTAGGGTAGCCCACATCCCATAACTGATGCACATGGTGGTATAGAAGCTTCACTCAACTGGGCAACTGAACCCAACTGGGCACAATTCTGCAGACTCATCCCATCTTCAGAGCTCCCTGCAGGGTCACCTGAGGTTTTCATAAGGAGACTGAATCACAGGTTGACTTCTCCTTCTGCCCAATCCTGCTTTCTTCCCTTCCCTGCCCTTCCTTTCCCTTTCCTTTTTAATAAGAATGCACATGCTGGATATGGGGTGGTAAAGTTGGTGCAGCCACAAAAGGAAATGAGAAAAAGGTATGGAAAGAAGTTCATTACACTCACAGGTGCCAGAGAGAAGCCTGGGCATGACATCTCAGCAAGAGCCCTGCAGGGAGATGATGACACCCCGGACCACCTGTGAGTGTGGGGATTACTCACTCAGCATTGCTGATACAGTCTGGACAGGATTTAGTGACAGATTAAATGTCGGCAGGTAAGGAGAGAGGGAGAATGTAAAAACCACTCCAGAATTTCTGGCTGGGCTTCCAGGTAGAAGGGATGGTGCTTAGATTATAGGTACAGGAGTCTGGGCAGGTGTCCATGATGAGGATAATGAATTCTTCTTAGGATGTACAGTAAGAACAGCCAGCAGGGCACCCAAGGAATCTGTGAGTGTAATAAATGCCATGTAGGGCCCCAGGGAAAGCATTAGGCTTTGGTCAAGTAGGAGACGGCAGGAATGAGACAAAATCCAGGCCACAGCCTTCACTGGGGTTTCCATGGGGAAGGCAAGGCAGGGCAGGATGAACAGATTAGGACTGGCTAATCTGAATCATTCTAGTGGGCTTTTAGTTATAGGAGTGGTTTTTAGTTGCCTGATACCTGGCCCTGGGATGATTCGGGTCAGAGAAAATGTGGGCTTGTGGGTATATTAGCTAAGAAGGTGACAGGGGATATAAACTTGGAATGGATTGATTTGCATATGAAAAGAGTGTTCATCGGTAAATTTTGATTGTCCTTAGGAATGAGCTAGCCCTGGGAGAAGCAATCTCTCCTCAGGTCTGTAAGGCCCCCAAATACCAAAGCATCGAGAACACAGAAAATAAGAACACATAGTTAATACAATTGGCCCTACAATGCGTGGATGCCCAATAGACAAAATACAGCATCTAAGACAACACAATTAAAACACTGTTCTCCTTCCCCTCCATAGCTGTTGATGCCCAAAGCACTGCCTAAAAAACCTTCTGAGCTCAACATTCCCACATTACCATCCTGCATGTCTCGTATGTGCCAAAGACTGTGAACAGTTCAGGTAATAGAGAGTGAACAAGAAGCTCACCTTCAAGATGCTCACCAGAGACACATATATGTATGTGCTCAATTGTTTGATACAGGACACAGCATGTTGGTTAAGAGTAAAGCTTTCAGGTGAGATAGACCTAGTTTCAAATACCACCACTGCCATTTACTAGCTGTGTAATTTGGGGAAAGTCACTTAATCTTTCTATGCTTCAATTTCCTCACCTATAAAATGTCAATAATTACACCAACTGAACTGGTTGTCCTAGAGATTAAATGAGATGTGTATATGAAAAGAGTTTATTACAGTGTTTGGTCTAATAAATGATGCTACACAACAGAAAAGCAAGTACTCCTAAGAAAAAAAAATAGCACAAAAGGAAGTTTAATTCTATCAGAGGATAGGAAAGGAAGGCTTCTCAGAGGCAGTAAGGCCTGACCTTGGAAATGAAAGACAAGTATGGATTTGTTTATGCAGACACATAGGAGGAGAATGTGATGGGAATTTTGGCCTAAAATGTCATTAGGTTGTCCATGATACAGCTTCTCTCAATCCAGCATTAAAATCCCATAACAGTGGAGAAAAGCACGAAAATATATAGCAAGGGATTCCAGGGTACCACAGAGTCTGAGAAGAATCCTCTCTTAGTAGTAGTGACACGGAACCACCACTATCAAGGAGGCTCAGGCTGGAGAGAGACCCTCGTGCAGATAAAATGGAACTACAGTGAAGGAGCTGCATCGGTTAGGAGGTGCTCAGCTGCAAGTGACAGAAGGCCCCACAACCACTCCAAGGCTGAGGAAATGCATTTTCACAAGACAACAGTCCAAGGGCTGGGCATTCAGCCCCTGTTCCACAGTGGCCCTGGCTTGGCCTCCTACACACCTTGGCTCTGTCCTTAGGAAGACTTCCCTAACCACAAGGGAGCTTCAGTAGCTCTATGCATTGTGTCTGATACAGCAAAGTCCAGAGACAGAGAAGGGGAGCTGTTTCTTCCTTGTGTCTCTTTTTCAAGAACAAAGAAATCTTTCCTGTAAGTTCTCTACACCCCACTGATCAAAATTATGCCTCCTGCCTCTGTCAATAACTGCTAGTAGTAATTTAGCATGTGTGTATGTCATCTTTTTCCCTTAACTAGCCATGTCTTCCTTTATTAAGTCAGCCCATTCTTTGTTAACAGCTGCACAGGGCTCCATTAGTGGAATGAAAGTAAAATTACCAGTATAGACAAATCAAACTCCACCTTCCAGAGGCAGGGGATTGAGTCCATCTAACCTAAACCAGATATCTCGTGTAGAGTGGAGTGGACAGTTGCACAAAACCAGAAACCTGCATATCAGAAAGACACTGTTTTAAAAAATGAGCCAGCCCAATACATAAAAACAGAAAGTTAAGGGGAAATGTAACATAAGACACAGGCTAAGTTACCTTTTATGTAAAACACAAACAAAACTCCATCTCTCTCTACATATATATGTGTGTATGTAAGAACATCCATGTATGTATGTGTAAGTATATATGTACATGTATGTGCATGCATGTGTCTAAGTGTATGTGTAGATGTTGTGTGTGTATGTGTCTAAGTATATATGTATATGTTGTGTGTGTGTGTATATTTCCATAGTAAAGAATGAAATGAAGTCTTGAATGTAGGGCAAAAGGGTTTAGATTGAAAGCTGATAAAATAAGGAAATCACTAGAGCATAGCTGCGCTTTTCAAATAGTTGGTATGGAAAATTATCCAAGTTGAGGTTTGAATCAGGGAGACTAAGGATTATGAGGCAGCTGTAGGGTTGTAGTTGGTGTTGATGAGACATGATGGATTTGGATGAGAAATATTTAGAGAAGAGATTTAGAGTGATCCAGTGACTGTATATAGAGTCTCAGAAAAAAAAAAAATAACAATGACCAACCTTAACCAAAAGTGGTTATGTAGTGCCTGATGATGCTGGAAGACAGTAGATAGATGATTGATAGATAGATAGATAGATAGATAGATAGATAGATAATTGAGATAGATAATAGATAGCTGATTGATATAGATAGAAGATAGATAGATATTCATTTAAACCTTATTCATATTCCTAGACAGAAGATACTGTTTTTGACCCATCTCACAAATGAGGAAGCTGAGGCACAGATTTAGCAGCTTATTCAAGGTCACAGCTAAGGAATGAAATTAGAAGGTTGTACCCAAACAGCCTCCGGCTTGAGCCAAGCATTTTCATGTTAGGGAGTTGGTCTTTGAAGGTTGGAGAAAAGACAGGGACACAGCTCTCACAGGATCCCTCTGGAAAATGTCCTATCTCTGTGATTTTCGTTTACTCACTTATTCATTCAGGTATTTCTTCTTTACAGCCTAAACATTCGCAAAAACAATTCCCCGCTGGCTGCCGCTGTCTTTCTAGAGTGTATGCGGCGCTGACTTCACAGTGAATTGTCAAGTATGATTCTTTTTAAGGTGCCGACCACCTGATCAAGCACCAACAATCCACAGGCACCTCAAAGTCTTTTGTGGGGCCCAAACCAGTTTCTCCCTTGGCCTCCAGCCACTCTTTCCCTGAACAGGCATTCCGTGTTTTGGGCCTCGAGTCCTCTTTTGCACCCTGTGGATGGTGGATGCTTTCCCCTGAGCTCTGACACATCTCTCAAGGAAGCTGAGTTGTTTCTCTCCCAAGGCCACCGAAGGATTTCTTACCAGTATCAGGGTGACTTGAAGCCTCCACCCCTAACCTGGGCTGGTTGGTCTAACCTAGACTGCCTTAGAGCTATAACAGAAACTGCACCCTACCTCCCAGTCCCATTCCCCACCCCCAATCTACACTACCCATTCTCTACTCCAGCTAAAATTGCTGAACTGAGTCCAGTCAACTTGCATTTATGAGCAAAATAAATCATGGCTATTGTTTCCAGCCATTGGGGAAGTTCATTTTATAGCAATAGATGTAATTAGAACACGTCATCATCAAACATAATCATTCAATTAATATAATTATATGTGATAATATTCATATTTGACCCCCCCAACAGGCATTTGATAGAACTAAACATTTATTCCTTATTAAGGACTCTATGTAAGTGATGAAAAAGAGTCCCTCATTATGGTCATGAATCTCTGTCCAAAACTATGAATTAATATTAATATCCTACACACTGTGGACCACTGTAGACATTCATTCCCATTGAAATCTGAAGAAAAAAGACATCAAAATTACATTAGAGCATCCTGGAAGTCTGAGCCAATACACTAAAATATGAAAAATAAATTAGAGGTATAATATCATCAACATGATCAAATTAACAATATTCACAGATTATATGGTTGTCTACCTCAAAAACTTAAAATTGAAATTCCATGGGAAAAGGACTAAAGTGTCACAATTTGCAAAATTAAAAAAAATTTTAAGGTGTACCTTTGGGCTTACAAAAATTAGCACATGGTCTACCATTAAGTCACACGCATCTAAGGACTATTCCCTTAAACACCAAATAAACTAGACAAAGATTCGGAATTACTGCTTAAAAGAATGAGCTCAGTGTGCTTGGTAGTGTAGCAGAATGCCTAACTGCTTAGGCTCTGAAGCTAGACAACCTGGATTCAGATTCCAGCTCCCCCACTCACTGCCCCTAATGGCCTTAGGCATATTATTTAAACTCTTACGCCTCAGCTTTCTCTACAGAAACATGAAAATGTTAACAATGATACCTAGTGCATGTGGCTGTGATAACAATTAAATAATTGTTATAGGGAAAGTGCTCAGAACATTGAGTAGAACATAATAAACATCATTATTTGTCAGGTTTCTTCAGAGAAGCAGAACCAATAGAAGATAGATAGTGTTAAATAAAATTTGTGGGAGGCCATTGTACTCTTCACCCCACTTCCATTTTCTGTCCGTAAATGCTGCCTGACCATGCAGCACACAGGAGTTTTTAAAGCCTAAATTCTCATTCTGAAGGCTGCTCGATTCATGAATCATTGCTGTTGGAGGGTTTTTTTTTTTTTTTTTTGCTTAAAAAACTGATAAATTTAAACTTGCTTAAGGTTTTCCCTTTTTAACAATAGATAGAGAGATACATAGATAATAAGGAATTGGCTGGCACAACTTTGGAGGCTGAGAAGTTCCATGATCTGCCATCAGCAACTGGAGACCCAGAAAAGGCAGTGATGTAATTCAGAATGAGTCCAAAGGCCCTGCACTCCAGGGAAGCCAATCGTGTAAATCCTAGTCCAAGAGCAGAAAATGAGATGCTGTGGCTCTAGCAGTGAGGCAGGAAGAAAAGGGATGAATTCCTTCTCTCTCTGCCATTTGTTCTAATCAGGCCCTCAACAAATTGCATGATCCTCCACATTGGTGAGGGCAATGGATACTTTCCTGAGTCCCCTGATTCAAATGCTAATCTCATCCAAAATATCCTCAAAGACACACCCAGAAATAATGTTTAATCTGGGTACCCCACAGGTCAGTTAAATTGACACATAAAATCAGCCATTACAGCCATTACTATTAGGATAAATTCTTAGGTTAGAGTCCCCATGTGACTCAAGGAAGAAGTAAATAGTTGTTTTCTTCTAATAAAAAGCACTGTTGACTTCACAATTAAACTAAAAATAAATGTGCATATATCTGTTAAAACGTAATATACATAAAATCTATGCTTAAGCACTTCTCATTCTAGGAATTCATCTTACACATATGCACTTATGTCTGCAAAATTAGTAGACCCGAAGTTACTCATTACAGCAAGGATTCTAATAATCAAAAACAACCTAAAATGACCATCAATAGCAACCGATTAAATAAATCATGGTAAATGGCTAATATATGGAAAGTTCTCTAATTTACATTGATAAAAAGATTCCAGAATGGTATGCATAATATTCTAGCCCTCGGTAAAAATTATAAATGTATGTGTATTCTATTCACATATATTCATACATATACATTTTATCTTACATAAATCTTACATCTCTGAAGTACACACTAAAAATAGGCAAATGCTTGCCTCCTGGGAGATAAACTGATTGATTGAAGTAGAGGGGTGAAAAGCCAGCCTTATTTCTCACTGTCTGTCATTTTGTTCATTTTGAGTTTTGTACCTTGAGTTTATATCACCTATACCATAATAAGTATTTTTAAAGATATGTGCAGAATCTAAATAAAGAAACTCACGTAGTAAAACCAAAGAAATGCAAAACTATACAATAAAATAATATTTGCCTATAAAAATGGCAGTGTTTTTGTTTGGTTTGGTTTGAAGATAAACAGTTTGACCTCAGTGTTCATAAAGTGGCAGAAAACAGGAACTCTCATATGCTGCTGGTGGTAACTAATCACTCCAAACATTTGGTACAGCAATTAATTTACAGTTTTAGATGAGTTAGCCGCTTCTAAAAACCTATCCTAAGGCATTAACTAAAGTTGGGGACCAAGATTTATGCACAAATGTTAAATCCACATGACTAAATAATGTAGAGACTTTAAAATAATGTTTTTGAAATATATATAGCAAAATGAATATTATACATTAGATTTTTTAATAGCAGTAATACTTTTTCAAGTTTATTAAGCTTATTTTTCATGATAAAAGTAATACTTGAATATTTTAAATAATGGATACTAGAGGGAACATTATGAGATAACATCAGATAAATAAATGAATAGTGCATGAAGCTATCTATGCAGAACCATCCTAATTTTTATATATTTTTATGCAATGGTAGGTTTGTTGTCTTACCGACACCAGGAAACTTCATCCATCCCACACATCCCATAGCTTTAGCTTCTATAGTGCCTTAACAATGTACAAGGCATGATAATCAGATAAAGAAGCTTAAGGATATTTTATCAATATAGCATCACTGGAGTAGGCTATGCCCCTTGTCAAATCTAACGCTAACAAAAGACACTTTAATAATTGCCCCTTTGCCATATCACAATATCTTCACGACTATCTCAGTCATATCCCTGTTCTCAGCAACTTCTGGGGCTGCAGGGCTGAAAGCCTAGAATCTACATTTCCAAGACTCCCTTGCCAACAGGATTTTAGTTAGATTTGGCCACTGAAGGGCATTCATATGAGATCCCAGAAGCACAAGAGGAGGCGGAGCCATTATCTCCACCTCATCCTGCAGCATCTAGAGACAGGCTCTCTGGTGTCAGCAGATGGCAAATAATTTTGAGAGCCAGTAGCTTCCAGGTTTCTTTCTAAAAATGACTCATATTGCTTCTACAAGTTATTGAGATTATCAGTAGTAAACCCTATGGGATTTCTGCAACCTTCTGAACTTCTAGAAAGCTTTTCCATGACTCCAGCTTTCTAGATTTCCTGAAAGCCAGTAGCCCTCCCTGACCTTCACTCTCCTGCCCAGCTCTAAAAAAAAAAGCAATAGGAACACAAGCTATTAATAAAATTTGTGTTTTCAGAAATTTCATTAAAATGCTTATCTTCGTGACATTTCATGTCTAAAACATGACCAATTGAAAGTCCAGAGACTCTGGCACTTCTAATCTGGCACTTCTAACTTCTAGGTGTGCATGACAGCGGTTCTCTCCAGGGGCAATTTCACCCCCTCTCACCCAGGTAACATTTGGCAATTTCTAGAGACATTTTTGATTATTATAACTCGGGCAAAGAGATTTTGCTACTGGTATCTAGTGTGTAGAAGCCTGAGGTGCTTATCAACATCCTACAATGCACAGGGAAGCCCCACAACAAAGAATCCTCTGATCTGAAATGGCCTTAGTGCCAAGATTGAGAAGTGCTGCCTTAAATCTTATGCATTAATTCTCCAGGATCACTACATCAAAAACACAAGTTATGTAAATTTTATCTTCCATATGATACGGTAGAAGAAATCTTTGCAATTAATTCCAAAAATGTGCCCTAGTCAAGACCTGTGATAACAATGAGTGTATCAACAACCAAGTTGTAGAAGAGAGGTACCCTCTTTCAAAACTGCTTTTAACCTGGGTAACCAAGGAACTAGAGGAAGGCTAATAAGAGAACAAAGTGAAGAGAAAGAGACTCTTAAGCATAGAAATTAGGCCTTCTCTCTCCTGCAAAATAATGAGATCAATTATGGATGCCTTTTCTTTCCCTCTTTACATTTGCCATATCTTCCAAATTTTATATAATGGTCATACATTACTTCTATAACTATACAAAAAAATCAATAAGCATTATATTTTAAAATAGACAGAATGAGAATAAGCAACCATTTTGAGGAAATATTCTAGTCACATTGCTGCAAGTACTTTGCATCCTCTCTAAAATCCTCCTGGGAAATAGAGACAAATAGAAAAATTATTCAACTCCCACCAGCCTTATTGTTCTGCTTTATAACTACATACCCTCCCACCAAATCTTATTAACAAGGTTTCTTAAAGGTGCTCAAGATGGCCAGGAGTGAGTTGTACATTTCTTTCACAGCAAAATGGTTTGCATGAGCAAGCATCTCACCCTGTTTAGATCAAAAGATTGCTGTTCAAAGGACACGGAACCCTCAGGAGACAAGGAAGAAGACAGCCTCCTCCCTAGCATTCCACATGAGGCAGTCAAGCTGGATTGTGAAGGCCCCTGAGTGTGAAATTCTGTCAGCTCTGAATTATGTGTGCCCACTAATAGCAACATTTCACTGTGCAGTGGTGTTTGTGACTGAAGTCTAGTTTTTATTCTGTGGGTTTCAAGGATGCAGCTCATTCCTGAAATTTAAAGACTCATAAAATATTTATTTTGTTATTTTAAATATATGAATTATTTAAATACGATTGGGTGGTACCTAGAACTAGAACTAGGCCAACTGTCTCTCTCTCTTCTCTTCCAGCAATTTCATCTCAGCTCTGACAGGGGAAGATTAGCCATAGCAAGAGTTCCTAGCCATGAAACGTTTCATAAGACCCTTTACAAGCACTGCAGATACCAGCTTCAGGCCCTCTTGAAAACTCATGAAGAGGGCTATAGTTTAAACGTTGGTTTCCCCAAACCTCAACTTGAAATTTGACCCTCAATATGGAGAGTGAGCCTAATGGAAAGTGTTTGGATCATGGGGGTGGTTCCCTCATGAATAGATTAATGCCCTCCCTGGGGGTGGAGGAGAGCAAATGAGTTCTTGTTCTGTTAGTTCCCATGAGAGCTGGTTGTTAAAAAGTCTGGAGTCTCTCTTCCCTCACTTCCTCTCTCACCACAGGTTTTCCGCACATGCCAGCTCCTCTTCCCCTTCCACCGTGAGTAGAAGCAGCCTGGAGCTCTCACTAGAAGCAGATGCTGGTGCCATACTTCTTTACAGCCTGCAAAACTGTGAGCCAAATAAACCTCTTTTCTTTAGAAATTGCCCAGCCTCCAGATATACCCTGGAATATCTTTACAGCAATGCAAAGGGACTAAGACAAATAGTGTTTAGCCTGTATCAGAAAGGTAGCTGCACAGGGGACTTCGTGTTCTTGTACCCATTGTACCACATTGAGCTTAGAGAGGTCCGAGATCCAAGATGATCAATAATTCCAAGAAGGTATCTTGCCCCCAGTGCATATCTATGCCAGGGTGGGACAAGTACTATGGCAGGGAAACATAATTTGTTATTTACAATTTATTTACTGCCTTTCAAGAAAAACAAACTCTAAAACACATTTTTGGCAGAGCATGGTGGCTCACACCTATAATCCCAGCACTTTGGGAGGCCGAGGCGGGCGGATCACTTGAGGTCAGGAGTTGGAGACTGGCCTGGTCAACATGGTGAAACCCCGCAACCATTAAAAACACAAAAATTAGCTGGGCCCAGCCAGTCATGGTGGCTCACGTCTGCAATCCCAGTACTTTGGGAGACTGAGGCAGTCGGATCACCGTAGGTCAGCAGTTCGAGACCAGCCTGGCCAACATGGTGAAACCCCATCTCTACTAAAAATACAAAAATTAGCCAAGTGTGGTGGCACGTGCCTGTAATCCCAGCTACTTGGGAGGCTGAGGTAGGAGAATTGCTTGAACCTGGGAGGCGGAGGTTGCAGTGAGCCAAGATTGTGCCACTGCACTCCAGCCTGGGCAACAGGAGCCGAAGCAGGCAGATCACAAGGTCAAGAGATCAAGACCATACTGACCAAAATGGTGAAACCCTATCTCTACTAAAAATACACAAATTAGCTGGGCGTGGTGGCGTGCCTGTAGTCCCAGCTACTCGGGAGGCTGAGGCAGGAGAATCTCTTGAACCCAGGAGGTGGAGGTTACAGTGAGCCAAGATTGCACCACCACACTCCAGCCTGGGCAACAGAGCAAGACTCCATCTCAAAAAAAAAAAAAAAATTAGCCGAATGTGGTGGTGGGCGCCTGTAATCCCAGCTACTCAGGAAGCTGAGTCAGGAGAATCGCTTGCAAGCAGGAGGCAGAGGTTCCAGTGAGCCAAGATTGCACCATTGCACTCCAGCCTGGGTGACAGAGTGAAACTCCATCTCAAAAAATTTAATTTAATTTAATTTAAAAATAAAAAAAATTGTTTACTGAGAGGGGTAATGGGTACAAGGATACAAGACTTACGGAACTTTAAGAATGATAGATAAATTGCTCACTTAAGACAAGATTGAATGTAAAGAGATAGTAATTGATGGAAGTGGGAAAAGGTGAGGCTAGACCACAAGGGAGGAGAAGGTTTTAAGAACACTTAATTTTAAGAGTAACTTTGTAAGGGGTAAGATAGTGAATGAGACTACCGCTAAATAACATGTTGTATAATGAGTGATGTAGTCCTATCTTCCATTTCCCCTGGAAATCTTAATTAAAATGTAGACTTCTTGCTAATGAGCAGAGCTTTGTACATCACAAGTATTCAATAAACATTTGTGAACTAATGAATGAATAAACAGAAGAAGAGCTTTTAATGAAATTGTATTTTCTCTTTGAGGGTGCACAGAAAGTACTGAGTCTTTTTTCTTTGAGGCTGTTAGCCTGTCTTCACAATCATGGTTAAGACTGCATAAATTTCAGCTCGTTGGCATGCTATAATTTACATATTCGTTGTAATTTGGTTATTTCTTCTGCTTTTTTATCTGAGGCCATACTGCAGTGAACATCTTGGGAAAAACAGTTTATTTCGGCGTACATACTGACAAATTGCTTTCTTAAAGGTGTGAGTCCCAGCCTAAGTTGACATAGCCATGAAGTGGTTGGGGAATCACAGCTTAAATCAGATAGGAAACTCAGAGTAGGCAGATTTGGTTTGAGCCCCCGTTTCCAATGATACTCTTCATAGAAGCTGGGCAGACCCAGGCATTGGCCATTGCATAAGTCTTTCTGAGGCCCACCCCGGTGTTGTGCCTTGAGAATACAGAAATGCCTTCAAGAACTTTATGGTATAATGGGAAGGCAAACATGTAAACAAGTTATTAAAATGTAGTAATATAGGTGCTACTATGAAGATACCGGTAATGCTTTTGAAAATTCAACATACCAGCATCTAATCCAACCAGGAATTAAGATAATTGGGAATATCAGGGATGATTCTTGGAGAAGGTGATGTCTACACTCTTTCTTGGAGGAGAAATAGAAGGATTGAATTGAAGAATGGGAAAGGGGGAGATTTTGCAGGCAAGGAGAAACCATGTGCAAAAGCACAGATGTGAAAGAGAAAGCATTATGGTGCAAAGTACATAAAATGTCATGTATGTAAGGGAAATCCGGAAACAGATGGGGATGGCTGAAAAGATAGATAAGCAAAAGATAGGATATAAAGGTTTCTGAAAACACCAATGGGAGTTTGGTCATCACACTACAGGCAAAATATGTTTCAATCTGGGGGTTAACTGTTGTGATTAGATTTGCCTCGTATAAAGATTACAGGAGGACAAGGAAAAGCTGGAGGCAGGGAGGCAAACAGGAGTAATCCCAGAGACAAATGTTGAAGGATGGCCTCTGTAACAAAAGTGTCATGGAAGGCAGCGACCTCCTAACAGTTTCTAAGAAGGCACACCCCAAATTAAACAGAACTGCAAAGCTCAGCCACACCCACAGAAAGTAGTTTTCTTAGCCTCCATAAGGTGAGTATTTTTCTCTCACTTTTCTGGTTCAGTCCTAGCATAATCTCTCAGATTTCCAGTTTTTCGGATTTCTGGCTTCATTCCTAGATTCCATCTTCTGCTGATGGCTTCTTGATGCCACTTTTTTACTTGGATCACACTCCACAATTAGCTACCAATTTCTCCCTGGATCCTGACTCAGAGTAGCTCAGAATGCTGCCTGTGTTGCACCTTGACATAAGAATATGGAATCTACTGACTGGTATCTTCATAATATGTTTGGTCATCAATGTTATATTTCCATATGCTCAGCCTATGAGAAACTGTATTAGTCTGGATTCTCCAGAGAAACAAACCAACAGGACACATGTGCACTACAAGGAATTGGCTCATGTATTTGCAGAGGCTGAGAAGTCCCAAGATCTGCAATCTGCAAGCTAGTGACAGGGGAAAATCAATGGAGAAGTTTCAATCTGAATCTAAAGACCTGAGAGCCAGGAGAGCTAATGGTATCAGTTCCAGTCTGAGTCCAAGTCTGCAACAGAAGAAAACTCATGACTTCTTAAAGACAGTCAGTCAGACAGAAGTAATTCTTTCTTAGTTAGACTTATATTCCATTCAGGCCTTTAACAGACTGGATGCTACCCACCCACAATAGGGAGGCCAATCCGCTTTGCTCAGTGCACCAATTCAAATGCTGATTGCATCCAGAAACACCCTCACAGACACATCCAGAAATGATATTTGACCAAATATCTGGGAGCCCCTTAATCCAATCAAGTTGACACATAAAATTAACTAAAAACCCAATCAAGTTGACACATAAAACTAACATAAAATTCCCTCTTCTGCTGAAAGAGAAACCCAGCTTGTCTGGCATTTGATTAGAATGATTGGACTCCCCAGGGGTGCCTATGAGGGTGTTTCTGTGGGAGAGTGGCATGTGAGTTGGTGGACTAAGTGTGAAGATCTGCCCTCAGTATGGGTAGGCACCATCCATTTGACTGGGGACCCAGATGGAACAAAAGACAGAAGAAGGACAAATTCTTTTTCTTTCTCATCCGGAGCCTGCGTGCCCTTCTTCCCCTGCTCATAGATGTCAAAATTCCATGTTCTCTGGCTCTTGGACCCTGAAACTTATACAGCATCCCTCCAGGCCTTTGGCCTCAGATTGAGAGTTCAACCATTGGATTCATTGGTTCTGAGGTCTCCAGACTAAGACTGAGGCAGGCTCCTGGCTTCCATGGTTCTCCAGCTTGCAGATGGCCAATCATGGGTGGGACTTCTCAGCCTCCATGATCAAGTAAGTCAATTTTCCTTTTAAAAAAAAAATCCCTTTTCATGTATATATCCTATTGGTTCTCTCTCTAGAGATCCATGGCTGAAACACTTATTAATAATTTTATATTGATTACATCTTCAATGACAATATTGCAATATATTGGGTTAAATAAAATATATCACTAAGTTAATTTTACCTGTTTCCTCTTACTTCTTTAATGTGGCTAATAGAAAATTTCAAATTACTGATATGGCTCTCGTTTTCATTTCCATTAGACATTGGTGCTCTGGAAGGCTGGACAGAGCTATCAGTTAGCAAGGGTTAGTGATAGCATCAGGGGCCCAGATCAAAAAATGTTTAAAATCCAGGACACAGTTTTAGTCTTTTTTTCTTTAGTAGTTGAACATTTTAATTGATTAGCTGCTTGTGTTCTTTTTTATTTTTTAACTTTTATTTTAGGTTCAGGGATACATGTAAAGGTTTGTTACAGAAGTACACTCATGTCACAGGGGTTTGTTGTTCAGATTATTTCATCATCTAGGTATTAAGCCCAGTACCCAATAGTTATCTTTTCTGCTCCTCTCCCTCCTCCCACCCTCCACCCTCAAGTAGACCCCAGTGTCTGTTGTTCCCTTCTTTGTATTCATGAGTTCTCATCATTTAGCTCACACTTATAAGTGAGAACATGCAGCATTTTGTTTTCTGTTTCTGCTTTAGTTTGCTAAAGATAATAGCCTCCAGCTCCATCCATGTTCCCACAAAACACATGATCTCATTCTTTCTTATGACCACGTGGTACTGCATGAGGTATATGTACCACATTTTTTTACCCAATCTCTCATTGATGGGCATTTAGGTCAATTCCACGTCTTTGCTATTGTGGACATTCACGTGTATGTGTCTTTATGGTAGGACAATTTATATTTCTCTAGGTTTATACCTAGTAATGGAATTGCCAGACCAAATGGTATTTCTGTCTTTAGATCTTTGAGGAATCACCACACTGCTTTCCACAATGGTTGAACTAATTTAAACTCCTACCAACAGTGTATAAGTGTTCCCTTTTCTCCGCAACCTCGCTAACATCTGCTATTTTTTGACTTTCAAGTAATATCCATTCTGACTGGTGTGTGAGATGGTATCTCATTTTGATTTTGATTTGCATATCTCTAATGATCTGTGATATTGAGCTATTTTTCATACTTGTTGGCTGCAGGTATGTCTTCTTTTGAAAAGTGTCTGTTCATGTTTTTTGCCTACTTTATAATGGGGTTGTTTTGTTTGTTTTTCTCTTGTAAATTTAAGTTCTTTATGGATGCCGGATATTAGACCTTTGTCAGATGCATAGTTTGCAAATAGTTTCTCCCATTCTGTAGGATTCCTGTTTACTCTGTTGATCGTTTTTTTCGCTGTGCAGAAGCTCTTAAACTTAATTAGATTGTTTTAGTCTTAATGAAGCCCAGCTGCACTAATGGGGAAACGGAGGCATTAGCCAATGACATAGGTTACGCTCACATTGCATTGCGGGGGTAAGGAGTCACTGTGACTCCCTGGCATTGGACTCCCTGGGTGCAAGTTATGTAGGCTTCCACCTGACAACAAAGATCAGATCCCAGTCCAAGTGGAATGGAAACTGGCCTGGCTCAGGAACAGCACTAGCTACACTTCCAGGAGAAGTCTCCATGACACTATGAGTGCCCAGCCATGGAAGGAAGGTGCCGGCACTCCTGCTGTCTATTTCCTTGCTTCTTTGAGTCAGGTAAATTCTACTCAGGAGAAATAATAATCAATTCTCGTTCCCTCTGATCAAATGCATTCTGAAGTTTTTATTTCCAACTGGATAAAATCCTCAGGCTGTCTGATTTGGGCCAGAGGCCCTATTGCCCATACCATTGGACAAATATAAGCCTTCTTTCTCTTTTGTTTGCTTTCCTAGGCACTAAGAGGTAACAATTAGTTCCTTTTACAGAGAACATTTCAAATCCATTTGTAAATACTGGTTTGGTTCTTAAATGGTCCTTGAGAGGTGATATATAATTACCGGCTGTTTAGATTTCACTTAAGCAAGAAGTTTCCAAGGCAGGCAAGAGTGATGCTGCTGGAAGTGCATGTTTACAGATCTTATTAAGGTCTTTAAGGTACCTACAACCTCCCACCAGGCAAACACGCAAAGCGTGAAGCAGGAGGATCCAGAGGGAAGGCAGGCTGGGGGTGGAGGAGCTTCCCCAAAGAGTAGGAAGAAAGGAAGAAATGAACAAATACCAGGTGAGACTGAAAAACATTACCAGAAAGCCCTGTTCCAGCTCACCCCTGCCATTTTGGAGAGGCCTGAGCCACGGTGACCTGGACAGCCTGAGTCCTGCTACGATGGGGCTCAGAGAGGTCTTGGTGAAGGAAGTCCCCAGGAGGCCCTGTCTTCCTTGTCAATCAGTCATCACCACAAACGAGATCTCCTTGGCCTCTTCAGTGACTCCTTAGACCTGCTGGCTCTTCCCTGACAAGCCTCTGTCCCTTTTCTTGCCACTTCATTGAGGCTTCTTTGATTGTAACTATTAACCTGTCGGCATTTCCAGCTTCAGCCCTTGGCAAGTTCGCTAGAGATTCGGTCACTATGTGTCCTACTCAGATCCCTGCTTTTCCAGGCCAATCCTCCAGCTACTGTGATAGAAAATTAGACGGCAGTGGAGGAAGTCAACAAGATGCATGTGGAATAAGCACTGGAGGAGGAGATGAGAGCTGAGGGAGCCAACTGAGAGGGGTCCGATGCTGAGAAGTTGGGCTGGGGACTGTGCACACAGCTGGATTTTAAATTAAGAATATCCAACTATGAGCTGCCTGAAAGCTCGTGTTCTCCTTCAGAGCACAAAAGCTGCATTCAAGGGGTAAAGACCTAAAGCAAAGGTGGCCCAGCATTGGCCATGAGAACTCCTAGAATATTCCGAGTCACAAGGACATTCTTGATTTCACCCAAGGTGGAAGTAAAATTAGGGAGTGACTGAAATGTCCAAGCTGACACATTCCACTCAAAGCACCAAATCTACATGTTCTAACAGACACTGCAGTTTGCGCATCCAGTGTTCATTGCCCCCGCTTCTCTCTTATTACTAAATCTTCTTTATGGAGGGGGCAATGTACCAGCTAGACTGTTACATTACAATCTCCCTTGCAACTAAGAGTGGCCAGATGCCACAGCTCTGCCCAATGAGACATGAGAGAAAGTCTGCGGGAATACCTGGGAAAGTGTCCTTTCCCCATTTCCCATTCATTGCACTGCCCCATCCCATATGTGTCCTTCCTGTTCCTGCCTGGGATATGAACAGGAGGCTGGAGAAGGAGCAGCCGCTATTTTGCCACCCGATAGTAATATGAGAATGAAAGTTGTAAACTGAGAATAGCGGAGCAGAAAGACAAGGAGTTCAGGGTACAAATGCCAGTTTGCAGGAGCCACCCCCCACCTAGACTCCTGTCCCAGATGTTTAGTCCCATGAAAAATACGTATACTCTTACCCTACTTGAAGCCATTTCTTTTTAGATTTCTATAGGTGCATCTGACAAATAGACATGACACTGTGTGAGTTCACTAAGCAGAGGAAGTCTAAAATAATTGCTATTTAAATTGCCAGCCCCACAGACCCTCCAGTTCTGTAAAACTCAAAGTTCTTTTGGGCTGCTGGGAGTTAGTCTACACCAAATAAATTCTGACCCCCAAATCCATGGCCTGGGAATATCCGCCAGGTCCTGATTCCCTGGAGGCTTAGCTGTGGCCATGTAACTCTCTACAGAAGCCTTGGCATGAAGTTTAAGAAATCAATGGGAAGTAGAACACCAGGGTCTATAGACGATTTAGAGACATGTTTAGAATGTAGGGATGAGGTGACATGGAGAGAGCGATATGCCACCCCACTGCACTGCTGATGTATCCTGGCACTCAAGGATGTCCAATAACATGAAGCCATAAAGACTGCAAGTTCTGTGCGTGGACAGCTCCTGCGGCTCATCAGCCTAACTATTATCTGCATGAGGATCCCATCAAGACCAAACCCACACCAGTCATACGAACAGAGATAATTTAGTATAAAAAATTGCTAACTAGGTGTAAAGTTATTAACTAGGTAACGGAAAGGGTAAAAAGAGAACTCTAAGGTATTACAGAAATAGTCACTATAGGAACAGCCATTTTCACTAGGTCCAGAGGAACAAAGGGAGAGAGGTTGGAATTATTAAAACAGAAATGTAGAGAAGTCCTTTGAGACGAAACTCAGACTTTAGAGTAGAGCGGACCAGCCAGTGCTGGGTCTCCATGGCAATGGAGTGGTGTTGGGGGTGTGGGGTGCAGTGAGTCTAGCTCGTCTAGGGTTGGAAAAACTGCAGACTGAGTTCTGCTGCCTGTGGGGGCAGGGGAGCATTGCAGGTTGCGGTGGGGAGGAGCACACTCCCCTCTCACGCCTCTCCTCCTGCCCTACAGGCACCTTCCGGCGCCCTCTACTGGCAAAGCCCAGCATAATAAAGAAGGGGCAAAGCAGGAATGTGGGGCTTGTAGAGTCCCAAATCCAACATCAGCTGAGAGGCATTGGAGCTGAGAGACAAATATTTAGTAACTAGCACAAGATCGCTGTAGCAGATACTCAGTGAACAGTGTTTGCCTATATATTCAGAAAGATACTAATTAGCAGAAGCCAGAAAGTAGATCTTAGAGGTTCAGAAGCATCCAAACACATTGAGGGGATGGGAGAGGGGGCTGGGAGGAGTTGGTAACCAGGCAGAAATTAATAAAGAGTATTGAATTTGATTCCCAGAAGCCAGCCCGTTCTCACTATTGAAAGATCAAAGCAGGGCTAAGAAAACGGGAGAGGGGATGGACCTGCTGCAGGAAATAGCCTGTCATAGGGTGCGTGTGAATTTCTTCTGGGGGTGTGGCAACCAGAGGCTTCAAGTGGTTGCTCCTTCTCAGGATCCTTTTTTCCCCTCACATTAAAGACGTTGATCTCAGAAGGGAAGGGGATCAAATGCTTCATCTCAGGAGTATGAGGCTGCTCGTCCCCTGTTCCTGAGATTTGTAACAAGAGTCCAAGTCAACTCAGCCAGGTTCCTGGGGACTCCCAAGATGCTAACAGGCTCTCAGAGCAAAAGGAGGCCAAGCGGGTTGGAGAGGCATGGGCAGGTGAGCAGAAGGAATCTGGAGGGACTCACTGAGGCATTAGATTTCTCTGTGTGGCGTCCCTCACATTGCTTAGGCAGAAGGTGACAGACTAAAATGTTAACATAACTATGTCCCCAACTTTGCCCTAACACCCCGCCCATCCCCACTAAACAGCATCATAGCCTGCCCTGATGCCGTTTCCTCCCTTCCTCCAAGGTCATCATCCTTGCTTTTGTGTTGCAGAATGGAGAGGAAGGGCATACAGAGGGAAGTACCCAGGGGTGAGAGACTATAGCCATGTAGAGGGGTCTTTTGAGGACCAAGTCTTGGGGAGCAGCTGTGGTGAGGGAGGCAATGTGAGAGAGAATAAAAGGGCAATTTAAAAGGCATTGGAAGAGATCATGCTTTCCCTTCATGGGCCTATAAAAGTACCAGCAAAGAATGTAAATTGGTTTGAAGTGATTTTGGGTTGTATACACTGTGTTCTTTTAACCACAGCTCTGCTTTGAGAATAAGCCCACGGTGGCTCTGTAAAAGTCATAAAAATAATCTTGAAATTCCCCTCAGAGATGTAGGGACTGTCAGAGGATCCCTGAAGCCTTTTCTACTTTGATTTCCAGGCCCTTTCTTTGCCAGGCCTGCTCTGGCCTTGGCCTTCCTGCAATAGCTCTCACAGACTCAGCTCCTTCCCCCTCCTCCCAGAACTTCCAGTCTGTTCTGTGTCACTTGGGGTCCCTTCCCCAGCCCATTGTGGAGGGAAACACAGTTTCCTGGGCCTCCCATGCTGTTTTTCTCTCATGAAGCAACCCAGGGCCTTTCTCTATTTAAGGAATTGATGGCTGATCCCACAGGCATGGACAGTGTTCATCTCTTAGGGTAGTTGCCATAAGCAAACCACACACATATGTGCACACACACGCAGATACACACACGCTTTCCTGGGCATAGATCTGCCAAGCTCACCCACACATATCAGTAAGGGCGATGTGGCAATGACTCGGGTGCCACCTTTGTCCCCTGTGGGTCTGTGGCTTCTCTGAGTCCCCATCCCCACTGTGACACCATCACTTTCTTAGAAGAAGCTGGTAAACTGGGGCCTCATATGGGCTTCCTGTCTCCTGGAAGAAGGAAAGGCACCTTTGGGAAAACTGGGCGTGTAGAAATGGGTGGTTTCTGGGATTCAGGAATAGCAGAGAAGTTGGCAATATTGAAAAACAAAGCCTAGTCCATAATTCAAGTATCAAGCATAGTTAACCTCATCCCCTGCTGTGCCAGTTATTCATTTATTGCCTTTCAGCTCCATTATCTTGAGATACTTCAATGTCCTCACTCCACCCTACACACTACCATTACATTCCTATATCTCTTCAACTCCAGCAATCAGTATCTGAACTCCTCAAGTAATCATTCTTCCAGCCCTTATCCATGACCATGGGAGTTTTTGTCCTCAGGAAAAAAAGACTCCCAAGTCTTTTGGAGACTTAATTTTCTTCCAGTCCAGCAGCCATCTGCTAGCCTCCTTTGCTTCAAAAGGCAGCTTAATGTCATCATTGACTCCCTGAATCATTTTCTGCCTTTGGAACCGAGAGACTGCCTGGTTTTGAATCCTGTCTCTAGCACATTCTACATAGGTGACTTTGGGCAAATTTGACTTAGACCTGAGACTCAGTTTCAGCACCTGTTAAATAGATTTATTACTAATTTCAACCTCCTAGAGTTGTGACAAAAATCAAACCAAACAATAGACATAGAGAGCTTAGATATTTCTGTCTGGAACATAGAGTGTACTCAATAACTGTTAGGGCTTACTATTTCTGTCATTTCCCACCTTTGCCCATCAAAACCCCAATCCTTGGTCAGTGTCACAGCAGTCCCTTTACTAGAGCCCTTTACCTGGGAAACTGAACGCTGCTGAAGAAAACCTTGCAACTCTGCGATTTCATCACTGCCAATGAAACGTGACTATTCTCACTTGATTCTTGGCTCTTCTGGCCATGCCATGTCTGTGGTTAGCTCCCACATTCATATTCCCTAATTTCCAATCCATATCTTTCTAATATTTCTCAAGCCTGCTTACACAGGCCCTGAACATGGCCAGCATAAAGCTTTGTCTCCTGTTTCATTAAGACAGAGAAGCATCATTTCCCTCGACTTCTAGCTCCTGTCACCTATAAACTGATGTAGGTCCACACCCAGAACTGGCCCCTTCCCTCCGTTCCCCTTTTTATCCAAGGCTAAAGGTTCTCTCTGTCCACCCTCTGCATCTTCTAAGTCCTCCCGCCATCAATTTCCCTTCCTCTACCCTCAGCCGCCCACTCCACCAAGCTTCTGTACTCATTCTATAAATAGGTATGTTATTTTCCTCCTCCCCCACCCCAAGAATAAAACCCTGGTGTTGTGTTCCCTCTAGTAAGATTCTTCTTCTCTTTTCACTAGAACTTCTACAAAGTGTGGCCTAACTCAGTCTGCACAGCATCTCATTCAACTCTCAACTTCCTGCAACCAGACTTCCATTCCCACTCCAGCGAGCCCAGTCCTTCCCTGTCTTTAACTCCCCTCTGTACCTGGCACTAACAACCATTATTTTTTATTCCAGCACTTCCATTCCCCATTCTGGCCCTTGCTACAATAGCCCACCCTCCAATCCTTCATGGTTCCCCTCTGACTAGCCCCTCATGACTAGCCCTGCTAGTCATGAAACCCTCTTACTCTTACTCTTGCATGGAACCCTCTTACTCTTACTGTTTAACCCTAAACTTAAAGTTTAGGGTTCCAAGAGTTTTGCTTCTGACTCACTGTTCTTCTTACATGCTAGACCCTCTCTGGGAGACTTTATCTTCATACATGGCTGCATATTTCAAAATCTCTAGCTCCAGTTTTGACTTCTCTCCTAAACATCAGATCTTACTCATTCTTTGAAATTTTCCTCTGGATGTCCCTAAAATCCTTAAATGTGTGTTCAGCCTTCATCATCTCCACAGGTCTCCATTTGTGAAACTAAATAGTCCTTACCCCAGCCAATGACAACACCTTCCACATTGCCCATAAGTCATGAAAGTAAGCTGCTCCTTCTCTCCTAACAACCATCCTATCATGCCACCTTCTAACTTTTACCTCTTAAATATTTTCCAGTCCATCTCGGCCTCCCCTGCCTGAGGATTGCTGCCATCTCCTCATTGGTGTCCATTTCTGATTTTGTTCTTTTGAATGCCCCCTACACATAGTTCCAGAAGGAGCTACCAAACACAAATCTGATTCATTTATCACCCTGCTTAAAACTTGTGGGTAGATTTCCATTTTTAAGCACTTTATGACAGCCTCAAAGGACCCGTGTCATCTGGATTTCAGGAAACTCTCAGATCTTCCACTTCCCACTCCCCACCTTGCACATTATGCCCCACCTAGACCAAAGGTATGCAGTTCCCCATGCACTGTGCATTGTACTGACATCTATGCATCCTCTGAGCCCTAGCAGATGCAGTACGTCTCCTTTTCTGTTCCCTTAGCAACCCTCACATACTGACATCTGAGCTTTCACCACACATTGCATTTGGGCAATTCTTTGATTTCTGGCTCTCCCACAAGCATGTGAGCTCCTCGATAGCAGAGCCATGTCTTAGCCTTCTCTGTATGTGCCCGGCACCTTCCCAGCTCCTGGCCTGTGCTGGGTCTTGAATAAATGATGGCTGGACTGAACTGAACTGACTGTCTAAGTTGGTCACTCTGCCACTCATTCTCAGAACTCTCCATATCTGGCCTACATCAAACCTTCCTACAACTGCCTCTTCAAAGGCAGGATCATTCCTTCCAGATGAAAGTCCTCGATTCCACTGTCGCAAGCTCTTTTCCTAACTCTCATTACATGAGTTTCCACTTCACTCATATGTTCCCAGAAGTGGAAGTTATTTTCTGGTTTTAAATAAAATAAAAGTAATCTGACACCCCCAAAGTCATTCAAAATGACCTTTGTGTAGTGGAAAGGACACTCATTGGGGCGTCAGGAGGTGTGAGCTGCAGCTGCTGCTCTGCAGCTGCTATTCATTCTGCTGGAGAGCAATGTACTGTCTGGCTCCGGCTACCTTCTCCTCCTTTACACAATGCCCAGGTAGGGAAAGCTGAGGCTGGAGTCCTGATGTTTTATGCATCAAAGGCTTTTCTTTATTTAGGGTTTATCTGACATCTTTACAAACGTGATAGTGAGATGGTTTGGTTGTTAGAGTGGCCAGAAAGAGACCCAGAAGCTGGTAAGTGGAGGGGTGGGGACAGGAAGAGGAAGAAAAATCCAGCTCTGAGCAACTCATCTAAAGATGAACCCAGGACAAGGCGGCCCTGAAGGAAAATATTGGCCTGAGATTCAGGCTCTGACCTGCTTGCCTTGGTGCTCTTAACTTGGGTTCTTCACAGCCCAGACTTATCTTCCTGGAACTTGCTCACACCTCACTTCCTCTCAACCAGTTCTTTTCAAATAAACCCTTTCCTATAAAGCTTTCACTTTAGTCTGCTCTGTTACAGATAGCCCTAAAGCCAGAAGAGCCACAGCAATGAAAAGTTCTGCCCTGCCCCGAATCCTACACAGTGCCTCATCTCTTCTCCAGGAGCCTGGGCACTTTCAGCCCTCCCCACGCGGGCTGCCCTATGCTCTCCCTGACTCAGTAAATCTCAGAGAAAGATGAGGGCCTGCCTGGTGCTGCACTCCCTACCTCGTCAGAGGAGCCTCAGAAAGAAGTGGAGCTTGCTTGTGTTAAAAACAGCCAGCGACCGGTCGATGCTTCATAGCAGGACAGGAGAGGAGCTGACTTTCAGTAACTCAGCAACAACTCACTTGCCAAGAACAGAGCGCATGGTCTACTCTATGGGGAGTGTGAAATGATTTCTTTCACACTGTTCCTTATTGGAACATTCCCTGTCAACAGCAATCACTCACCCTCCCAGAGGGCCAGGCTCAGAGAAACAACAAAGGATGGAGAATATGCAGGATTACGCACATATTCACACATATACACACACCAAATACACACATAGACACACACCAAAACTCACACACGAACACCCAGGTGAGCACACACTCACCACACACAAATCCTCAGCACCCATTCGCAGAGACGTGTAGATATGCACAGATACAAAGCCGGCTTTCATCTGTTTGGTCTTGCACAGCCTTAGACACGTGGATGTTCAGTTCCAGACTCAAACACCCATGGACACATCACACTGAGGCACATGGGAGCCGAGACAAACGTGCAGACTTTCAGAGAATTTCTTTTTAAGTGTAGAGACCTGCATAGCCACCTCAACCTGGATGAGCAGTCAGGTGCCAAGGCAGCAGAAAGGCTATTAGAAGGGGAGTGGCCTGCAGCTGAAGGATTAACTCTGTGGACTTTAGGAGGGTGGGCTGAGGGGGAGAAATCAGCTCTGGAGTTGCTTAGTCAGCAGGGCTGCTAGTGCACTAGAAATGAAGAAAATTTGAGCTGGGGCTGCAAAGAGAAAAATTTAAGAATATTTTTGTGTCAAACTGAATGAACTTAGTGAGTAATTCCATCTATCTGGAAAAGGGGAAGAGGAGGAATGCCTCTTGGGATACCCCGAGGCTTGGGCTTACTCGCTGTGATGGGTAATACTGGGAGGAGGGAGGGTTGCCAGAATGGCACGTTTTGGTTCTGTGAGTTATGAACTGAAAATATCCTGAGTACCAGTTCCTACAGCCTGAGCCCCAGTGGGCTTTCAAAGCCCCATCCCAGGGATTTTTGTCTGTCAGGGGAAGATGAGTACACAGAGGCCAGATGATGGGGAGAGCAAGGAGCCTGTCTGGAGACCAGAAAAGAGAAGAAACCTCACGTAGGCAGGACCTGGGGCTTTCCTGCCTGCAATGCTTCTGATTGGTCAGTGTCCTCCAGATCTTCCAACCATTTGGGCCTCCATTAATTGTTATAATCTGATAGCCCAACCCTAAACTTCCCTTAGACCCAGCACTCTGTGGAATCGAAAAGACACTTTTGCAGGTGAATGTCACCCTGTTCCTCGGCTCTTCTTCCAGCTTTCTCTGCTTTGGGCAATAACTGAGTGTGCACCACAGAGTCTTGTTTCCACAACCTCTTTAGCCTTAAAAATGTGATAGTTTTCATAATAAAGGGGCACTTGAGGGAGGCCTTATAAGTACCTCTGTGCCACCTGGCGGTATTAACGGCCCAAGCAAACACTGGCGAGGACTCTCTGGAGAAAGTATTCCACCTCCAGGCTGAGCTGTGATGGTGAAGGTCAAAGGACAGCCTCGCAATGGCAGCAGCTAAGCCAGCTGCATCTCCTTCATTAAATCTTTCCTGGGAAGGATGAGAGAGAAATTCTCTCAAAGGCCAAATTCATGGGAACTGGTAGGACTTTAACAGAAACCAGGTCTCAACAGAGGAAACGCTGGAGAGGTTCTGAAGGTTTCAGATGCCCACAGCTCTTCCCAGGAGAATTGGTTTCTGTTCCACATCTTCACTCCCACCTCCCCACTTCCAGGTGCCCTTAGCTGAGAGTACACAGAGGGATTACAGAGACTAGGGTCTCTGAGGTGTCCATCCTACAGAGGACAGCCACTTTTCAGCTCTCCCTCCAACCCCCAACGTACCAAGCAAATTCACCCAAGGGGAAGGGAAGAAGGAGAGCAGGTCCAAGAATAAAGCTCTGGGGATTACAGGGTCCTCTTTTCTCTCCTTCCTTCTTCAACAGACTTTTACTAAATGATAACAGTGCAATGCATGAAAGAGAGAGACCAGGAGAAGTTCACCATCTACTGGTTCAGACAGACTCATAAACTGATATTTTATAAGCAGTGTGATACACTGTTGATAGCACTGTTATACAAGGAGCTTTGGAATTGCTGGGGAAATAGTCACCACTTCTGTATTTGTGAGTGATGGGGAAGAAGAGAGTTGCTTAGAAGACTCATGAATGCATAAGGGAGTCCAGGCAGGAGGAGAGACATGTTGAAAAGCACAGGTAGGGTGGTGAATGCTGAGGGGTCCAAGCATCCAGAGTTTTGGGCAGCTTACAGCCAACTGCAGGACTGCAGCCCAGACCCACCCCATTTCTGGAAATTGCATTTCCCCAGCTCCATCCAGGTGGTTTGCAGGGAAGCTGCCATGGTCTTTCTCGATTCTTCCTGCCTAGACCAAGTGAGGCCAATGAATCACTTTCCTGAGAATTTGGGTCTTGAGATGGACAGAATCCATTCACCTTCAGTGGCTGAAGCTCAAAACAAAACAAAACAAAACAAAAAAAGCTCAAAAGGTATTGGTGTCCATTTTCCTCCATGTGGGAAAGAACGATCTGCAGAAGAGAGAAGCCAAGAGTCAAACTCAAGAGAATGAGAGGTGGAGGGGCCCTAACCCCTCCCTGAGCTGACCCACTGAGGCTTTGTCATTTTAGGAGATGTCACAGGATCCTTCCAATAAAGTCCCATCTTGAATGAAGCAAGGTCCAGCTGGGTTTCTGCACTCGCAACCAAGAGGACTTGAGTAGGGAGGTGCATGGGGTGGGGGAGGCTGATAGAAGGCTGAGGACCAGAGTGTGAGGGCTCTTAGATGCCACCTGGAGTATTGGCATGAACCTCCAAAAGGAGTCAGTGAGTGTTTCTGAGCCACACATAGAGGTGAGTGACCTTATCGAACCTTGACTGAAGCTGATGATACCAGAAAAGGGGACCATGTAGGAGGCAGAACTTCAGGCAATTCCCTTGGGGTAAAGATAAGAGAGAAGATTCTAAAGATGTTTCCAAGGCAGAAATCAAAGTACCAGGCAGAGGGTGAAGGATTAATGAGGAAGGAGATTCTGAAGCAATGTCATGAAAGCCAAGGAGTGAGATCAGTTTAAGGAAAAAAAATCATATTTGACAATTACTCCCACAAAAGGGGCCAACAGGTAGAATAAGGTAACAATTGGAAAGTGGTGATTGGGTGTGGCAATTCAGAAGCTCGTGACAATGGGTTATACAGGAAACGTGTACAATGGGTTATACAATGGGTTATACAGGAAACGTGAAGAAAGAAATTAGGAAAGTGATTATTGACTCTACTTAAGCCCAGCAGAAATAACCACCAGCAGTATTTCCATCATATAACTCTGGAGTCCAATATTGTTATGATAATTCAACTTAATGGAAGTAAAACTATCCTATTTTTTGACAAGAGTTTTATGACCCCTTTTTTTTAAATAAGTTAAATATTTTATTTCATCAGAGAAAAATGTGCTTTTTTCTCCTAAGCCACAATAACCCTACAACAATAACTCTTCAATGTATATATTTATTATGTTTTTATTTTTTGAATAGTTAATGCATACACGTGACTTTTTAAGAAAAATTCACAGAATACAGAAGGCTCTGAAGTAAAAAGTGAACCTCTTTCTCTCTCCCGTTCTCCCGTTAAAAACGCTACAGTTTCTTGCCCATATTTCCAAGGATAGTCCACGCAAACACAATCATAGGGTATATACATTCCCTTTCCTCACAAAGGTTCATTTCTATACATGCCGTTCCATTCCTTGCTTTTTCCATTTAATATGGCTCTAACAGTGTTCCATCTTTGAGCATATAGGTCTGCCTCTCCTTTTGAAATGACTGTGTGGTATTTCTGTGAACTGATTTACCATATTTTCTTTCATTAGGCCCCTGAAGATGAACTTTTAGGTTGTTTCCATTATTTTGCTAATATAATCAGAGCTGTAGTAAATTCTCTTACACTGTTCTTTGGATACATCTGTAAAACAAATTCCTATAATCAAAACTGCCAAAGTAAAGAGAATATGCATTTTAAATTTTACTAGGAATGTTCAAACTACCCTTCCAAGTTCCTACCAACAATGGACAAAGTGACAGTTCCACTACACCTTCACCTAGCATGGTGTGTTATGACACCTGTGCTCTTTGCTAATCAATATTACAGTCTTCAAAGTAATGGCTAATCTCAGAGCTGGGCTAACCCAGAAATGCCTGGGACAATGACCTCAGAGTCCTGTTTCCTCAGAAAGTACAAAGATAAATAAAATTGGAACACTGCATCTGCCTCATCTACAGTGCTCCTGCCCTGGGGAAATTGTGAGATGGCACACAAGTCTTGGACCACCATAAACACAAAGGTATAAAAGAATGTCGGTGTGATACATGCACCTTGGTGCTTGTCCACGGCATCCACGCATAACCCACGTGAGTGAGAGGGCCAAAGAAATTATCTACTTAAGAAGTTGCTTAGTCTCCCAAGGAGATGAAGGTGCTGTGCAGTTTTACTTTCAAGAAATCTTTTCAAGAAACTAAGTGACTCTAATATTAGTTTAAGGCCTTTTGTATCTCATGAGTCTGGGTCTGTGCAGCTGCACAATTCATTGGTTTACATTTACATTTATCTTATTATAAGTGAAGTTGAGCATTTTCCTTACAAACTAAAAGACCTTTTTTTTCCATTTTTATGAATTATGTTTTCTGCCTACTGGAAAGGTGATATTTATTGATTTTTAAATACTCTTTATATATTATAAGATGTGTTCTTTATCATATATGTTGCAAATATTTTTCCAGGTTTTTAATTGTCTTCTAATTATGTGTCTAATATTTTTTCCATAAAGAACCATTTTATTTTTATAGAGTCATATTTATCCATTTTTTCCTCTTAAGAATTCTGGAGTTTGTGAAGTGCTTTCAAACTTCTTTTCAATTTTGGGGTTTAAAAAGTTTCCTTTTCACCCTCTGGGAAGTGAGGAGCGCCTCTGCCCGGCCCCTGCCCTGTCTGGGAAGTGAGGAGCGCCTCTGCCCGGTGCTGTGCAACCTTCCAAGTGTGAAATGACAGCCTTGTGTGTAATCTTCTCTGTCTTCCCCAAGTTTGCATTTGCTACATTAAAGTTTACTTTTTAATTAAAAATAAATAAATAAATAAAAAGTTTCCTTTCCTGTTTCCTACCTGATCTTTTTTTTTGTTTGTTTCATTTTTTAAGTTTTAGTATTTAATATATCTGGAATTTTTATTTTGGTGTAAAGAGTGAGGTAGAGATCCAACTTTATTTTTTCCAGATTATTACCTAAATCAGTGCCTTGATAATGAAGGCTTTCATACACTATTACAAGGCATTGCTATAAGCTCTTTTTCAGAGTTTGCAGTACTAGGCTCTCAAATGCTTAAAATTTCCCTCAGCAATATGGAACAGATTATGCCAATGGAAAGTCTGAGATATCTAATGCTCTATTCCACCACTTTATTAACTATTCCTAAAAATACACAGTATAAAAGGCTTTGTAAAATTTCAATAAAAATTGAAACTGTAATTTAGGTAAACATCTGCCTAATGTGCAAAAGATTATCAACTAGCCAAAGAAAATTAAAAAATGTTTTTGTCCACCCATTTCCAATGGATACTCCTCCCTTAAAAAAAAAAAAAAAAAAAAAAAAAAAAAGAAGTGTTTGCTCACCAGTAGAAAAGCCACAATCAGATGAGAAGGAAGTTACTCACGAGGGCTGCAGTAAATGAATGAACAGGCTTCCTCTCCAGGTGTGCAGCTTTTTTTCCCCAGAGAGTTATGTACCACTGAGTTCAACAACACTAATACCCAGCCACAGAAACCAAAGCTAACAGTGGGTTCAGTGTTAAAATCTCTACCTGTGATAAAGAGGTCAGCAGTAGGCACAGGCTAAGCTTTGAAGAACACGGTGGGTAGTACACAGATGGGCATGGAGCTGGGGACATAGAGGGTAAAAGGTGAGCATGAAAACTTCATTCCTGTTTTTAGACACAAAGCTACCATCTCACTCATATTATCCAGGGGAAAAAACTACTCTTTTCAGCAAATAACAAAGAAGTAGAACCAAAAGGATTCTTTTTAATTCAACAGTTTTGCACTAAAAAAAACTTTATAAACCCCGGAAAATGTGGTTGAAGCTGTGTATGTCAATCATCCCATAGCTTAAGATCTGAGATGATAATTCTAACAGCAGCAAAATTAATGTTAAATAGTCAAGCAAATTGATTCACCAGCTAACAAGGAAACACCAAACCTCCAGAGACCTTTCACCTTCTAAATAAACCAGGAAAACATCAGAGTTTTCACAAAAGCACATGGTATTGGTCAGGGATCTTGGTTCCACTGAATGTAAAATAATTGTGGATTATATTAAGCAAAACTTAAAACTTAGACTTAAGAGGTGGCTAGGGGATAAGGGTTGAAAAGGCACAGACACTAGCCAATTTAAGATCTAAAGAGTAGGATGCAGAACTCATCAGGCAGGCTCTTACTTAAATGCTAGACAAACTACCTGTGGCTGATTTAAGGGAAAATAAATTTACCAACAGCATCTTTGGGAGCTCCAGAATTGACAGAAAAGACTGGAGAATCAAGCTCAGAAAATGATCAGGATCAAAAAGAAGAGGTACTGCCAGAAACACATGAATTTGGCCCAGTGCAGTGGCCCACACCTGTAATCCCACCACTTTGGGAGGCCGAGGTGGATGGATTGCTTGAGCTCAGGAGTTTGAGACCAGCCTGGGCAACATGGCGAAACCTTATCTCCACAAAATATTAGCTGGGCGTGGTGGCGCACACCTCTGGTCCCAGCTACTCGGCAGGCTGAGGTAGGAGGATCACTTGAGCCCAGGAAGCGGAGGTTGCAGTGAGCCGAGATTGTGCCACTGCACCACTCCAGCCTGGGAAACAGAACCAGACCTTCTCTCAAAAAAAAGAAAGAAACACGTGAACTCTTCCCACAGGACCAATCTAGGATGGCACGTGTGCTTCAGAGGCTGAACACTGGGTGGTGAAGCATTAGCCCAAACCCAGGTGACAACACTTCAGATGCTGCCCCAGCACCATCACTGCTGCCCCTGGAACTAGGCCATGGTTGTTACCACTGCAGACAGCCAGTGAATTCTCTGCTGGCTTATGTCTTTGCATTCCTAACTTTGGATTGAAAATGCCAAGTAAGTCTATCTCATTGACCAGCCCTTGGTTTGTGCAGGGCCTAAGATTTCATATCTGGCTTTTCAGCTTCCACTGTGGGAAGTTAACTTGGTACCCCAACAAGATCACACAATGAACAGTGAAATTAAGGACAAATGACCACCCCAGTGAACAACCTAACATGAATGTTCTGGGCAGGACATCCTTGCCACCCCTGCTGGACACAAACACTGCCGGTACTGCACGCCACTGCTACTGCTGCTGTGTCCAAAAATGAATTGTATACATCCCTTCAAGATCCAAGGAAGGAGCATCCAAGGAACCAAGTCTTGGCTGCCAGAGAAAGGGATGGAGGAAGCCCCTGGACCTACAGGCTTCCAAAGAAAAAAGTAAGAGGCAATAGATACAGTTACAAAGAAAAGAAAACACGGCACCCAAAGTTCAAGAAGAAGATTTTTTAAGTATTTTAAACCAATATCATCAGAGAAATGCAAATTAAAACCACGAGATATCATCTTATGCCAGTCAGAATGGCCATTATTAAAAAGTCAAAAACAAAAGATAATGGCAATAATATGGAGAAAAGGGAATGCTCATATGCTGTTGGTGGGAATGTAAATTAGTACAACCTCTATGGAAAAGAGTATGGAGATTTCTCAAAGAACTGAAAATAAAGATACCATTCAATCTAGTAACCCCACTACTGGGTATCTACCCAAAAGAAAAGAAATCATTATATTAAAAATAAACCTGCGTGTTTATTGTCACACTCTTCACAATAGCAAAGTCATGGAATAAACCTAAGTGTTCATCAATGGATGATTGGATAAAGAAAATTTGATATGTGTGTGTGTGTATATATATATATATACATACATACATACACACCATGGAATACTACTCAGCCATAGAAAAGAATAAAATAATGTCTTTTGCAGCAACATCATCATAACTGGATGGAGGCCATTATCTTAAGTGAAACAACTCAGAAACATAAAATCAAACACCACATGTTCTCACTTACAAGTGGGAGCTAAAGAATGTGTACACGTGTACATAGGAAGTGGAATAATAGACACTGGAGATTCAGAAGAAGCAGAGTGTGGGAGGGAAGTGAGGAATGAGATATTACTTAATAGTTGGAATGGGATTCCCTGGGCAAGATGGCCAAATAGGAACAGCTCCAGTCTGCAGCTCCCAGAGAGACCAACGCAGAAGGCAGGTGGTTTCTGCATTTCCAACTGAGGTACCCATCTCATCTCACTGGGACTGGTTAGACAGTGGGTACAAGGGGCCGGGGAACTCCCTCTGCTAGCCAAGGGAAGCCATGAATGAGGGACAGTGCTATCCGGCCCAGATACTATGCTTTTCCCACTGTCTTTGCAACTAGCAGACTAGGATATTCCCTTGGGTGCCTACACCACTAGGGCCTTGAGTTTCAAGCACAAAACTGGGTGGCCATTTGGGCAGACACCAAGCTAGTTGCAAGTTTTTTTTCATACCCCAGTGGTGGCTGGAACAGAATCATTCACTCCCTTGCAAATGAGGCTGAAGCCAGGGAGCCCAGTGGTCTTGCTCAGTGAATTCCACCCCCATGGAGCCCAACAAGCTAAGATCCACTGGCTTCAAATTCTGGCTGCCATGGCTCACGCCTGTAATCCCAGCACTTTGGGAGGCCAAGGCGGGCGAATCACAAGGTCAGGAGATCGAGACCATTCTGGCTAACATGGTGAAACCATGTCTCTACTAAAAATACAAAAAATTAGCCAGGCGTAGTGGTGGGCACCTGTAGTCCTAGCTACTTGGGAGGCTGAGGCAGGAGAGTGGCATGAACCCAGGGGGTGGAGCTTGCAGTGAGCCGAGATTGTGCCACTGCGCTCCAGCCTGGGCGACAGTGCCAGACTCTGTCTCAAAAAAAAAAAAAAAAAAAAATTCTGGCTGCCAGCACAGCAGTCTGATGTCGACCTGGAATGCTCCAGCTTGGTGGGGGGAGGGGCATCCACCATTACTGAGGCTTGAGTAGACTATTTTCCCCTCACAGTGTAACAAAGCCGGCAGGAAGTTTGGACTGGGTGGAGCCCACAGCAGTGCCCCAAAGCCACTGTAGCCAGACTGCCTCTCTAGATTCCACCTCTCTGAGCAGGGCATTTCTGGAAGAAAGGCAGCAGCCCCAGTGAGGGCTTTATGGATAAAACTCCCATCTCCCTGGGACAGAGCACCTGGGGGAAGGGGTGGCTGTGGGCACAGCTTCAGCAGACTTAAATGTTCCGGCCTGCCAGTTCTGAAGAGAGCAGTGGATCTTCCACCACAGCACTGGAGCTCTGCTAGGGGACAGACTGCCTCCTCAAGTGGGTCCCTGACCACCATGATTCCTGACAGGGAGACACTTCCCAACAGGGGTCAACAGACACCTCATAAAGGAAAGCTCCAACTGGCAACAGGTGGGTGCCCCTCTGGGACAAAGCTTCCAGAGGAAGGAACAGGTAGCAATTTTGCTGTTCTGCAGCCTCTGCTGGTGATACCCAGGCAAACAGGGTCTGGAGCAGACCTCCAGCAAACTCCAGCAGACCTGCAGAAGAGGGACCTGACTGTTAGAAGGAATACTAACAAACAGAAAGGAATAGCATCAACATCAATAAAAAAGATGACCATGCAAAAAAACCCATCCAAAGTTCACCAACATCAAAGACCAAAGGTAGATAAATCCACAAAGATCAGGAAGAAAACAGTGCAAACAGGATGAAAATTCCAAAATCCAGAATGCCTCTTCTCCTCCAAAGGATCACAACTCCTCATCAGCAAGGGAACAAAACTGGACAGAGAATGAGTTTGATGAATTGACAGACGTAGGTCTCAGAAGGTGGGTAATAACAAACTGCTCTGAGCTAAAAAAGCATGTTCTAACCCAATGAAAGAAAGCTTAAGAACCTTGATAAAAGGTTACAGGAACTGCTAACTAGAATCACCAGTGGAGAAAACATAAATGACCTAATGGAACTGAAAAACACAGCACAAGAACTTTGTGAAGCATACACAAGTATCAATAGCCAAATCGATCAAGCAGAAGAAAGGATATCAGAGATTGAAGGTCAACTTAATGAAATAAAGCATGAAGACAACATTAGAGAAAAACAAATGAAAAGAGCCCCCAAGAAATATGGAACTATGTGAAAAGAACAACATATATTTGACTGGTGTACCTGAAAGTGATGGGGAGAATGGAACCAAGTTGGAAAACACACTTCAGGATATTATCCAGGAGAACTTCCCCAACCTGGCAAGACAGGCCAACATTCAAATTCAGGAAATACAGAGAACACCACTAAGATACTCCTCAAGAAGAGCAACCACAAGACACATAATCATCAGATTCACCAAGGTTGAAATGAAGGAAAAAATGTTAAGGGCAGCCAGAGAGAAAGGTCAGGTTACCCACAAAGGGAAGCCCATCAGACTAACAGTGGATCTCTCTGCAAAAACCATATAAGCCAGAATAGAGTAGGGGCCAATATTTAACATTCTTAAAGAAAAGAATTTTCAACCCAGAATTTCATATCCGGCCAAATTAAGCTTCATAAGAGAAGGAGAAATACAATCCTTTACAGACAAGCAAATGCTGAGAGATTTTGTCACCACCAGGCCATCCTTACAAGAGCTGCTGAAGGAAGCACTAAACATGGAAAGGAAAAACCTGTACCAGTCACAGCAAAAACATGCAAAATTATAAAGGCCATCAATACTATGAAGAAACTGAATGTAGTAACGGGCAAAATAACCAGCTAGCATGATAATGGCAGGATGAAATTCACATATAACAATATTAACCTTAAATGTAAATGGACTAAATGCCCCAATTAAAAGACATAGACTGGCAAATTGGATAAAGAGTCAAGACCCATCAGTGTGCTGTATTCAGGAGACCCGTTTCGTGTGCAAAGACATACATAGGCTCAAAATAAAGAGAGGGAGGAATATTTACCAAGCAAATGGAAAGAAAAAAAACCAGGGGTTGCAATCCTAGTCTCTCATAAAACAGACTTTAAACAAACAAAGATGAAAAGGGACAAAGAAGGGCATTACATAATGCTAAAGTATCAATGCAACAAGAAGAGCTAATTATCCTAAATATATATGCACCCAACACAGGAGCACCCAGATTCATAAAGCAAGTTCTTAGAGACCTACAAGGAGACTTAGACTCCCACACAATAATAGTGGGAGACATTAACACCCACTGTCAATATTAAACAGATCAACAAGACAGAAAATTAACAAGGATATTCACACTTGAACTCAGCTCTGGACCAAGTGGACCTAATAGACATCTACAGAACTCTCCACCCCAAATCAGCAGAATATACATTCTTCTCAGCACCACATAGCACGTATCCTAAAATTGACCACATAATTGGAACTAAAACACTCCTCAGCAAATGCAAAAGAAAGGAAATCATAACAAACAGTCTCTCAGACCACACTGCAATCAAATTAGAACTCAGGATTAAGAAACTCACTTAAAACCACACTAATACATAGAAACTGAACAACCTGCTACTGAATGACTACTGGCTAAATAACGAAATTAAGGCAAAAATAAGTAAGCTCTTTGAAACCAATGAGAACAAATACACAACATATCAGAATCTCTAGGACACAGCTAAAGCAGTGTTAAGAGGGATATTTATAGCACTAAATGCCCTCAGGAGAAAGGGGGAAAGATCTAAAATTGACACCCTAACATCACAATTAAAAGAACTAGAGAAGCAAGAGCAAACAAATTCAAAAGCTAGCAGAAGACAAGAAATAACTAAGATCAGAGCACAACTGAAGGAGATAGAGACATGAAAAACCCTTGAAAAAAATCGATGAATCCAGGAGCTGATTTTTTGAAAATATTAACAAAATAGATGGACCACCAGCCAGAATAACAAAAAAGAAAAGAGAGAAGAATCAAATAAACGCAGTAAAAAAAATGATAAAGGGGATATGGGATATCACCGCTGATCCCACAGAAATACAAACTACCAACAAAGAATACTATAAACACCTCTACGCAAATAAACAAAATAATCTAGAAGAAACAGATAAATTCCTGGACACAGACACCCACCCAAGACTAAACCAGGAAGATGTCGAATCCCTGAATAGACCAATAGTAAGTTCTGAAATTGAGGTAGTAATTAATAGCCTACCAACCACAAAAAGCCCAGGACCACACGGATTCATAGCCTAATTCTACCAGAGGTAAAAAGAGGAGCTGGTACCATTCCTTCTGCAACTATTAGAAGCAATAGAAAAAGAGAAACTCTTCCCTAACTCATTGTATGAGGCCAGCATTATCCTGATACCAAAACCTGGCAAAGACACAACAAAAAAAGAAAATTTCATGCCACTATCCCTGATGAACATCGATGCAAAAATCCTCAATAAAATACTGGCAAACCTAATGCAGCAGCACATTAAAAAGCTTATCCACCACAAACAAGTTGGCTTCATCCCTGGGATGCAGGGCTGGTTCAACATATGCAAATCAATAAACTTAATCCCTCACATAAACAGAACCAATGACAAAAACCACATGATTATCTCAATAGATGCAGAAAATGCCTGCAATAAAATTAAACAACACTTGATGCTAAAAACACTCAATAAACTGGGTATTGATGGAATGTGTCTCAAAATAGTAAGAGCTATTTATGACAAACCCACAGCCAATATCATACTGAATGGACAAAAGCTGAAAGCATTCCCTTTGAAAACTGGCACAAGACAAGGATGCCCTCTCTCACTACTCCTATTCAACATAGTATTGAAAGTTCTGGCCAGGGCAATCAGGCCAGAGAAAGAAATAAAGAGTATTCAAATAGGAAGAAAGGAAGTCAAATTATCTCTCTTTGCAGATAACATGACTGTATATTTACAAAACCCCATCGCCTCAGCTGAAAAACTCCTTAAGCTGATAAGCAACTTCAGCAAAGTCGGATACAAAAATCAATGCACGAAAATTACAAGCATTCCTATACACCAATAATAGACAAACAGAAAGCCAAATCATGAGTGAACTCCAATTCAGAATTGCTACAAAGAGAATAAAATACCTAGGAATACAACTTACAAGGGACATTAAGGCCCACTTCAAGGAGAACGACAAACCACCACTCAAGGAAATAAGAGAGGACATGAACAAATGGAGAAACATTCCATGCTCATGGATAGAAAGAATTAATACCTAGGAATATAACTTACAAAGGACATCAAGGCCCTCTTCAAGGAGAACAACAAACCACCACTCAAGGAAATAAGAGAGGACACGAACAAATGGAGAAACATTCCATGCTCATGGATAGAAAGAATTAATCAAGGAATACAACTTACAAGGGACATTAAGGCCCTCTTCAAGGAGAATGACAAACCACTGCTCAACAAAATAAGAGGCAACACAAACAAATGGAAAAACATTCCATGCTCATGGATAGAAAGAATTAATGTTGTGAAAATGGCCATACTGCCCAATGTAATTTATAGATTCAATGCTATTCCCATCAAGCTACCATTGACTTTCTTCACAGAATTAGAAAACAAACTACTTTAAATTTCATACAGAACCAAAAAAACAGCCCGTATAGCCAAGACAATCTTAAGCAAAAAGAACAAAGCTGGAGGCATCATGCTACCTGAATTCAAACTATACTACAAGGCTACAGTAACCAAAACAGCATGATACTGGTAACAAAACAGAAATATAGACCAGTGGAACAGAACAGAGGCCTGAGAAATAACACCACACATCTACAACCATTTGATCTTTGACAAACCTGACTGAAACAAGCAATGGGGAAAGGATTCCCTATATAATAAATGGTGTTGGGAAAACCAGCTAGCCATATGCAGAAAACTGAAACTGGACCCCTTCCTTACACCTTATAGAAAAATTAACTCAAGATGGATTAAAGACTTAAGTGTAAAATGCAAAACCATAAAAACCCTAGAAGGAAACCTAGGCAATACCATTCAGGATATAAGCATGGGCAAAGACTTCATGACTAAACCATCAAAAGCAATTGCAACAAAAGTCAAAATTGACAAATGGGATCTAATCAAACTAAAGAGCTTCTGCACAACAAAAGAAACGATCATCAGAGTGAACAGGCAACCTTCAGAATGGGAGAAAATTTTTGCCATCTATCCATCTGACAAAGGACTGATATCCAGAATCCACAATGAATGTAAACAAATTGACAAGAAAACAAACAACCCCATCAAAAAGTGGGTGAAGGATATGAACAGACACTTTGCAAAAGAAGACATTTATGTGGCCAACAAACATATGAAAAAAGCTCATCATCACTGTCATTAGAGAAATGTAAATCAAAACCACAATGAGATACCATCTCACACCAGTTAGAATGGCGATTATTAAAAAGTCAGGAAACAACAGATGCTGGTGAGGCTGTGGAGAAATAGGAATGCTTTTACACTATTGGTGGGAGTGTAAATTAGTTCAACCATTGTGGAAGACAGTGTGACGATTCCTCAAGGATCTAGAACTAGAAATACCATTTGACCCAGCAATCCCATTACTGGGTATATACCCAAAGGATTATAAATCATTCTACTCTAAAGTCACATGCACATGTATGTTTACTGTAGCACTATTCACAATACCAAAGACTTAGACAACCCAAATGCCCATCAATGATAGACTGGATAAAGAAAATGTGGCACATATACACCATGGAATCCTATGCAGCCATAAAAAAAAATGAGTTCATCTCGTTTGCAGGTACATGGATGAAGCTGGAAGCCATCATTCTCAGCAAACTAACACAGGAACAGAAATCAAAACACCACATGTTCTCACTCATAAGTGGGAGCTGAACAATGAGAACATATGGAGACAGGGAGGAGAACATCACACACTGGGACCTGTCGGGGGGTGTGGGGCAAGGGGAAGGGATAGCATTAGAGAAATACCTAACGTAGATGACGGGTTGATGGGTGCAGCAAATCACCATGGCACATGTATACCTATGTAACAAACCTGCACATTCTGCACATGCATCCCAGAACTTAAAGTATAATAATAATAAAATAAGTAAATAAATAAATAAATAAATTTAAAAAAAATTTTAAAAATCTCCAGGTCAATGCAAAAAAAAAAAAAAAATAGTTGCAACGTACACTCTTCAGGCTATGGCTACACTAAAAGCCCAGACTTTACCACTATGCAATATATCCATGTAACAAAACTACACTTGTCCTCCAAAATACATTCTAAATTTTTTTAAAAAGAAACTCTTTTAAATATATGCTTTAGTTTCTCATTTGAATTAATTTCCTTAGTGCAGAGAAAAGAAATAGAGAGTTGAAAATTGTAGATGCTATGGAATGAAGAGCCACATAGACAGAAGCAATGCACCTGAAAGGAACTGTAATGCTTTGAAAATAAACAATTATTAGAGACAGAATAAAAGAAAACCTTTCTGAACAGAAGCAATACCTTCTGAGATCTCAGATTAAAGTTTTTCTGCAATTACAAAAGATAATTAGTGAAAAAGAATAACTATAACCTGGTGACCTTCAAAATTACAAGAATGAAAAAAAAATCTGTAAACATGGAGGCAGGGAAAAACTGATGGCATGAAAGAAAAGAAATAAAATATCAAGCCAAACTCAGGCTTTTCCTTTCAAGTACAACTAGATGACTGGTGTATCTTTGGCAAAAGACTTGTTTTAAATGCATTGGAGCCTGTCTAAATAGAAAAGAAATGAAGAAATTCAAAAATAGAGAAGCTAAGATATAAAAAAAATTGGTAGTGAGCAATGAAATTCCATAAGTATAAATACGTCTAAATATTTGCTGTAAATATGGTCTAAAAAATGCTGAAATATATTCTAAAACAGAAGATTAAAATTAGCAAAAGTAACAATAACCATCTTAATCAATTATTTTTTAAGAAAACATGAACCTTAAAGGAAAGTAAATGTGTTTTTCCTCATGCCAAAGTTGAGATAAAAATAGAAATATTTTATTTTATGCCAATAATTAAAATACACCATAATGAGGTGTTTTAATTAAATATATTTATTTGTAGGATTCCAAACAAGTTGTATAATAGGTAAATCACTACAGGGGAAATTTTACAATTAAGTAAGACTCTACACATAGTGAAGAACTCTGAGCAGAAGTTATTGGTAGGTTTTCAACAAAGAAAAAAACAGGATAAAAAAATGAGATTGAACACACAAGTTGACAATAACTGTAAATCAGTTAAATTACCATCTTAAAACAAAAAGACTCCTAAATGAGCACCAGAATGAAAGTGCAGCTACAAGTCATTTTTAAGAATCTAAAACAAAGTAATACAAAAAGTTAAAATATTGGACAAGGGTAAATCAGACAACAAAAGTAGAAGCACGGTGTCCATTGCAACATAATGCCTCCACTTTTATTCCAACATAAATTCCAAATGTAAATTCCAAATCGACAAAAAAAAAAATAGTAAACTGAACAAATGGGATTATTTTACATTTGGTAAAGGTGCATTCTACCATGACATTCTAATACTAACAGAAAAAGGTTTACATGCCAAGTAATATAGCATTAAATATAATGAAGCAAAATCTGTTGGTAATAAAGGGGACTCTTAAAATCTATTTTACACTGTGTTAAATTCTATACTACTTACAGTCTTTAAAAGAAAAAATGAAAAATAAATCAATAAGGCTGAAAAGTAGTGGGTTTCAAACTGTCTCAAGAGTGGCCATAAAAGATGCTGAGAAGACCAATTTTGGACTGTCCATCTTGTGTACATCAGTGTTCCACATGACCCTGCATTTGAAGAAAACAGCCTTGAGAAAGAAGACAAGGGTTTGAACATCTTTCATTGTTTTAAAAAAAAATCTATCTGGCAGCCGGGCACAGTGGCTCACGCCTGTAATCCCAGCACTTTGGAAGGCCGAGGTGGGCAGATCACGAGGTCAAGAGATCGAGACCATCCTGGCCAACATGGTGAAACCCCATCTCTACTAAATATACAAAAATTAGCTGGACTTGGTGGCACACACCTGTACTCCCAGCTACTCAGGAGGCTGGGGAAGGAGAATCGCTTGAACCCAGGAGGTGGAGGTTCCAGTGAGCCGAGATCGTGCCACTGCACTCCAGCCTGGCAATAGAGAGAGACTCTGTCTCAAAAAAAAAAAAAAAAAAAAAAAAAAAAAATCTATCAGGTACTATTCCATAAGTCAGGTCCTAAATTCAGTTTATGTCAATATTTGGGTTTATGGCCTTCATAGTCAAAAAGCTACTTACAAAAGCCTGCAGAACCACATAGAAGAATCACACTGTTGCTGAATCTATTTCTGATCTGTTTCTGAATCTATTATGAAAATTTTTTGCTGCAATTCTGTTAGTAAATTTCTAGCATCCCAGCTATCAATTGGAAGGTAATGTGTTTTGATTTTTTTTTTTCACTTTAAGCTCTGGGATACATGTGCAGAACGTGCCGGTTTGTTGCATAGGTATACGTGTGCCATGGTGGTTTGCTGCACCTATCAACCAATCATCCAGATTTTAAGCCCCATGTGCATTAGGTATTTGTCATAATGCTCTTCCTCCCCTTGCCCCACCCCACAACAGGCCCCGGTGTGTGATGTTCCCCTCTCTGTGTCTATATGTTCGCATTGTTCAACTCCCACTTATGAGTGAGAACATGTGGTGTTTTGATTTCTGTTCCTGTGTTAGTTTGCTGAGAATGATGGCTTTCAGCTTCATCCATGTACCTGCAAACGAGATGAACTCATTCTTTTTTAAGGCTGCATAGGATTCCATGGTGTACATGTGCCACATTTTCTTTATCCAGTCTATCATTGATGGGCATTTGAGTTGGTTCCAAGTTTTTGGTATTATGAATAGTGCTACAGTAAACATACGTGTGCATGTGTCTTTAGAGTAGAATGATTTATAATCCTTTGGGTATATACCCAGTAATGGGATTGCTGGGTCAAATGGTATTTCTAGTTCTAGATCCTTGAGGAATCGTCACACTGTCTTCCACAATGGTTGAACTAATTTACACTCCCACCAATAGTGTAAAAGCATTCCTATTTCTCCACAGCCTCACCAGCATCTGTTGTTTCCTGACTTTTTAATAATCGTCATTCTAACTGGTGTGAGATGATATCTCATTGTGGTTTTGATTTACATTTCTCTAATGACCAGTGATGATGAGCTTTTTTTCTTGTTTGTTGGCCACATAAATGTCTTCTTTTGAAAAGTGTCTGTTCATATCCTTCACTCACTTTTTGATAGGGTTGTTCATTTGTTTTCCTGTAAATTTGTTTAAGTTCCTTGTAGATTTGGGATATTAGACCTTTGTCAGATGGGTAGATTGCAAATATTTCCTCCCATTCTGAAGGTTGCCTGTTCACTCTGATAATAGTTTCTTTTGCTGTGCAGAAGCTCTTTAGTTTGATTAGATCCCATTTGTCAATTTTGACTTTTGTTGCAATTGCTTTTGGTATTTTAGTCATGAATGCTTTGCCCATACCTATGTCCTGAATGGTATTGCCTAGGTTTCCTTCTAGGGTTTTTATGGTTTTGCATTTTATATTTAAGTCTTTAATCCATCTTGGGTTAATTTTTCTATAAGGTGTAAGGAAGGGGTCTAGTTTCAGTTTTCTGCATATGGCTAGCCGGTTTTCCCAACACCATTTATTAAATAGGGAATCCTTTCCCCTTTGCTTGTTTTAGTCAGGTTTGTCGAAGATCAGATGGTCATAGATGTGTGGTGTTATTTCTGAGGTCTCTGTTCTTTTCCATTGGTCTATATATCTGTTTTGGTACCAGTACTATGTTGTTTAATTACCATGGCCTTGTAGTACAGTTTGAAGTCAGGTAGCCTGATGCCCCCAGCTTTGTTCTTTTTCCTTAAGATTGTCTTGGCTATACAGGCTGGTTTTTCTTTTCTTTTTTTTTTGGTTCCATATGAAATTTAAAGTAGTTTTTCTAATTCTGCAAAGGAAGTCAATGGTAGCTTGATGGGAATAGCATTGAATCTATAAATTACTTTGGGCAGTATGGCCATTTTCATGATAGTGATTCTTCCTATCCATGAGCATGGAATGTTTTTCCATTTGTTCATGTCCTCTCTTATTTCCTTGAGTGGTGGTTTGTCGTTCTCCTTGAAGAGGGCCTTAATGTCCCTTGTAAGTTGTATTCCTAGGTATTTTATTCTCTTTGTAGCAATCGTGAATGGGAGTTCACTCATGATCTGGCTCTCAGGTTGCCTGTTGGTATACAGGAATGCTAGTCAGGTTGCATATTGATTTTGTATCCTGAGACTTTGCTGAAGTTGCCTATCAGATTAAGAAGTTTTGGGGCTGAGATGATGGGGTTTTCTAGATATAGAATCATGTCATCTGCAAGCAAAGATAATTTGGCTTCTCTTTCTATTTGAATACCCTTTATTTCTTTCTCTGGCCTGATTGCCCTGGCCAGAACTTCCAATACCATGTTGAATAGGAGTGGTAGAAGAAGGCAAACTTCTCTGGTGCTGGTTTGCGAGGGGAATGGTTCCAGCTTTTGCCCACTCAATATGATCTTGGCTGTAGGTTTGTCATATATGGCTCTTATTATTTTGAGGTATGTTCCTCTGATACCTAGTTTATTGAGTGTTTTAAACATGAAGGGATGTTGAATTTTATTGAGGGTCTTTTCTGCATCTATTGAGATATTCATATTGTTTTTGTCTTTAGTTCAGTTTATGTGATGAATCGCATTTATTGATTTGTGTATGTTGAACCGGCCTTGCATCCCAGGGATGAAGGCTACTTGATCATGGTCGATGAGCTCTTTGATGTGCTGCTGGTTTCAGTTTGTGAGTATTTTATTGAGAATTTTTGCATTGATGTTCATCAGGGATATTGACATGAAATTTTCTTTTTTTTGTTGCGTCTCTGCCAAGTTTTGGTATCAGGATGATGCTGGCCTCATAAAATGAGTTAGGGAGGAGTCCCTCTTTTTCTATTGTTTGGAATACTTTCAGAAGGAATGGTACCAACTCCTCTTTGTACCTCTGATAGAATTCAGCTGTGAATCCATCTGGTCCTGGGCTTTTTTTTTTTTTTTTTGGCTTGGTAGGTTATTAATTACTACCTCAATTTCAGAACTTGTTATTGGTCTATTCAGGGATTCAGCTTCTTCCTGGCTTAGTCTTGGGAGGGTGTATGTGTCCAGGAATTTATGAGTTTCTTCTACATTATCTAGTTTATTTGCATAGAGGCGTTTATAGTATTCTCTGTTGGTGGTTTGCATTTCTGTGGGATCAGTGGTGATACCTACTTTGTCATTTTTTAACTGTGTCTATTTGATTTTCTCTCTTTTCTTCTTTATTAGTCTGGCTAGCAGTCTATCTACTTTGTTAATGTTTTTTTAAAAACAGCTCCTGCATTCATTGATTTTTTTGAAGGGTTTTTCGTGTCTCTATCTCCTTCGGTTCTGCTCTGATCTTAGTTATTTCTTGTCTTCTGCTAGTTTTGAAGTGTTTGCTCTTTCTTCTCTAGTTCTTTTAATTGTGGTATTAGGGTGTCAATTTTAGGTATTTCCCACTTTCTCCTGAGGGCAATAAATGTCCCTCCTAACACTGCTTTAGTTGTGTCCTAGAGATTCCAGTATGTTGTATATTTGTTCTCATTGGTTTCAAAGAACTTATTTATTTTTGCCTTAATTTAGTTATTTACCCAGTAGTCATTCAGGAGCAGCTTGTTCAGTTTCCATATAGTTATGTGATTTTGAGTGAGTTTCTTTTTTTTTTTGTTTGTTTGTTTTTTTTTTTTTTTTTTTTGAGATGGAGTCTTGCTCTGTCACCCAGGCTGGAGTGCAGTGGCGCCATCTCGGCTCACTGCAAGCTCCGCCTTCTGGGTTCCCACCATTCTCCTGCCTCAGCCTCTCGAGTAGCTGGGACTACAGGTGCCCACCACCAAGCCTGGCTAATTTTTTGTATTTTTAGTAGAGACAGGGTTTCACCATGTTAGCCAGGATGGTCTCAATCTGCTGACCTCACGATCTGCCTGCCTCGGCCTCCCAAAATGCTGGAATTACAGGTTTGAGCCACTGCTCCCAGCCTTGAGTTTCTTAATCCTGAGTTCTAATTTGATTGCACTGTGGCCTGAGACTGTTTGTTATGATTTCCATCCTTTTGCATTTGCTGAGGAGTGTTTTACTTCCAATTATGTGGTCAATTTTAGAATAAGTGCTTTGTGGTGCTGAGAAAAATATTCTGTTGATTTGGGGTGGAGAATTCTGTAGGTATCTATTAGGCCCGCTTGGTCCAGAGCTGAGTTCAAGTCTTGAATATCCTTGTTAATTTTCTGTCTCATTGATCTGTCTAATATTGACAGTGTAGTGTTAAAGTCTCCCACTATTATTGTGTCAGAGTCTAAGTCTCCTTGTGGGTCCCTAAGAACTTGTTTTATGAACCTGGGTGCTCCTGTATTGGGTGCATATATATTTAGGATAGCTAGCTTTTCTTGTTGCATTGATCCCTTTACCATTATGTAATGCCCTTCTTTGTCCTTTTTGATCTTTGTTGGTTTAACATCTGTTTTTATCAGAGACTAGGATTGCAACCCCTGGGTTTTATTTTTTTTTCCTTTCCATTTGTTTGGTAAATATTCCTCCCTCCCTTTATTTTGAGCCTATGTGTGTCTTTGCTTGTGAGATGGGTCTCCTGAATACAGCACACCGATGAGTCTTGACTCTTTATCCAGTTTGCCAGTCTGTGTCTTTTAATTGGGGCATTTAGCCCGTTTACATTTAAGGTTAATATTGTTATGTGTGAATTTGATCCTGTCATCATGATGCTAGCTGATTATTTTGCACATTATTTGATGCGGTTTCTTCATAGTGTCATTGGTCTTTATATTTTGGTGTGTTTTTGCAGTGGCTGGTTCTGGTTTTTCCTTTCCATATTCAGTGCTTCCTTCAGCAGTTCTTGTAAGGCCGGCCCAGTGGTGACAAAATCCCTCAGCATTTGCTTGTCTGTAAAGGATTTTATTTCTCCTTCACTTATGAAGCTTAGTTTGGCTGAATATAAAACTTGGGTTTGAAAATTATTTTCTTTAAGAATGTTGAATACTGGCCCCCATTCTCTTCTGGCTTGTAGGGTTTCTGCAGCGAGATCTGCTGTTAGTCTGATGGGCTTCCCTTTGTAGGTAACCTGACCTTTCTCTCTGGCTGCCCTTAACAGGTTTTCCTTTGATTCAGCCTTGGAAAATCTGATGATTATGTGTCTTCTCAAGGAGTATCTTAGTGGTGTTCTCTGTATTTCCTAAATTTGAATGTTGGCCTGTCTTGCTAGGTTGGGTTAGCCCCATATTTCTTGGAGGCTTTGTTCATTCCCTTTCATTCTTTCTTCTCCAATCTTATCTTCACACCTTATTTTAGTAAGGTGATCTTCAATCTCTGATATCCTTTCTTCCATTTGATCGATTTGGCTATTGATACTTCTGTGCATGCTTCACAAAGTTTTTGTGCTGTGGTTTTCAATTCTATCAGGTCATTTATGTTCCTCTTTAAGCTGGTTATTCTAGTTAGCAGTTCCCATAACCTTTTGTCAAGGCTCTTAACTTCCTTGCATTGCATTAGAACATGCTCCTTTAGCTCAGAGGAGTTTGTTATTACCCACCTTCTGAAGCGTGCTTCTGTCAGTTTGTCAGTCTCATTCTCCATCCAGTTTTGTGCCCTTGCTGGAGAGGAGTTGCAATCATTTGGAGGAGAAGAGGTATTCTGGGTTTTGGAATTTTCAGTGTTTTTGTGCTGGTTTTTCCTCATCTTCTTGGATTTATGTACCTTTGATCTTTGAGGCTGATGACCTTTGGATGGGGCTTTTATGTGGGGGTCTTTTATGTTGATGTTATTGCTTTCTGTTTGTTAGTTTCTCTTCTAACAGTCAGGCCCCTCTTCTGCAGGTCTGCTGCAGTTTGCTGGAGGTCCACTCCAAATACTCTTCACCCAGGAATCACCAGTGGATGCTGCAGAACAGCAAAGATTGCTGCCTCTTCCTTCTTCTGGAAGCTTCACCCCACAAGGGCACCAACATGATGCCAGCTGAGGCTCTCCTGTATGAGGTGTCTGTCAATACCTTTTGGGGGTCTCTCCCAGTCAGGAGGCACATGGGTCAGGGACCCACTTGAGGAGGCAGTCTGTCCCTTAGCAGAGCTGGTGCACTGTGCTGGGAGAATCACCCTTGTGTTTTGATTTTTTTAACCAAATAAGTTCAAAAAACAACAAAATTGTTTGAATGTTTTTTAAACAAGTGAGATTTTTTATAATTCTAAGGTTTTGAGTACACATATATGAAAAATATTGTGACATTGTTTTCAGCAACAAAATTGTGTAAGAAAGAGACATTCCATCTGTTTTTGAAATGTTCTTTTCTTAGCACAATTTTCTGTATAAATCAATATCTCACTTGTTTAAACATGACCCTTACCTTGAAGGGACAGATTAAATGTGTTTTTGTCTTCAAAATGTCAACTTGGACTTTTAAAAAGTCATCAAATTTGGATTGATTATCTTTTTGCATAAAAAAAAGTTTTGCTTATCTTTAAGTTTAAGGAATCTTGGAAACATTTTTCCAGGAGATTACCAAGTGTTCTCTTGAGTATGTTATGAAGAATCTACCACTTTTTTTTTTAACAGATCAATGAAGATTTTGCCATTATTTTTAATGGCAAAAACTGCAATTACTTTTGCACCAACCTAATACAATGGTGTTAATGGATAAATTTCACAAGTATAGTTTGTGATTTACCCTAGGACCCATTTTATTCCAGTAGAAGGAGCTGTTCTATCTGTAGCTACACTTAAGTGATATTTTACATCTCTCTCTCATAGAACAGTGGGAGTTTAAACATCGTTATTAAATAGGTAATATACTGTTGAAAAACTATCTTCTCTAGTACATTTAGAAAATGTATTAGTACAGCTTAACACATACACACACAATGTACTTTGCACATTTAATTGCTGCAAGACCATCTAGTAAACACTCAAAATTGAAGCGACTTAGAGGCATCTATACTTTTATCCAACTGTATAGTAGCAAGCCTTCCATATTAAAGAATTTGTTCTAGCAGGAACAGAAAACCAAATACCACATGTTCTCCCTAATAAGTGAGAGCCATACATTGAGTACAGATGGACATAAAGATGGCAACAATAGACACTGGGGACTACTAGAATGGGGAGGAAAGGTGGGAGGCAAGGGCTGAAAAACTAAAGAAAATGAAATTATTTTTTATAGTTAAAGAGGCTAAGTCCAAGGTTGAGGGGCCACATCTGGTGAGGACCTTCTTGCTGCTGATGACTCTGCAGAGCCCAAGACAGTGCAGGGCATCACATGGAGATTGAGTGTGTTAATGTGCAATCTCAGATCTCTTTCTCTTCTTATAAAGCTACTGTTCTCCTCCCATGACAAGCCATTAATTTATTAACTCATTAAACTAAGAATGGATTAATCCATTCATAAGGACAGAACCCTCATGATCCAATTACCTCTTAAAGGGCCCCACTACTCAACACTGCCACATTGGGGATTAAGTTTCAACATGAGTTTTGGAGGGGACATTAAAACTATAGTACCTGTCTTTAAATACTTGTCTCTGACAAAGGAATGCCCTTTTAGTTTGTCATGATTTTCTATGTATAACTTCAGTGACTTTTACCTTGAAAGGAAGAACAAGTGTATCTCCTATAGTGTGTGAATTTTGGGGTTTTACTGTACAAAAAGAAATCTTAAATAGGTTATATAATTTTAATACATTTAGATTAAATATCATATATCTTAAACATGGCTCAAAAAATACCAACACTTGTCTTCAGGCTCTGAATGTTTAGTTCTTAAATGCTTTGCTGTCATGAGGGCTTCCCACTACCTGGAGATAGTATTCCAAGGTAGAGTATACACCTAGCCACCCTTCTAGGGAAATCTGTTTTCATCATCATTGCTGTTACCTCTTTGTAGGATTCATGAAGACTTACACCAGGAGTAAGAAAAGCACTGCTCTTCCATTTGGGGGATTTGTTTTGTTTTAATTCTTGCTGTTGTTTACTTTTGCTTACATTATTAGAATCATCTTAAACCTAGGATCATTTTGTAAGAGTCTTTATAATTCATCTTTCTATTTTGGGGAAATTAGTTTTATTCAGACTAGAAAATTACCTTTAAATCTACCTAGCAAGTAAGGGTAAACTGTAATGCATCACAAGATGCTAAAAGCTGATAAAAGCAGGATGACGATTCAGTCAACCTTCCTGTTTAGAAACTTCCACAAATAGTAGAAAACTTATAAACAACACCTGGCATGCAATATTTTGGTATCAGTTGTCTATAGTCAAATAAAACAGTGTAACAAACAACCACAAACCCTTAATAGCATACAAGATAGATACTTTGCTCAGAAATCTGAGGGGATCAGCTGGCTTATAGCTGAGCCCACCCATGCCTCCAAGCTGAGCTAGGGGTCAGCTGGGAGGCTCTGCTGACTTTGGCCAAGCTTGCTCCCATGTGTAAGGGTTGACTGTTAGCTGGTCTAGGACAGCCTCAGCTGGGATTATCCAGGCAGCTCAGCTCTTCTGCAGCTGTCTCTCATCTTCCAGCAGGCAAGCCCAGGTATGTTTTCACGGCAATGACAGAGGGTGAAAGCAGGCAAGCCCAATCCTGTAAGAAATTTTCCAGCCTATTGTTTTTTTTTTTTTTTGACAGAGTCTCACTTTGTCGCCTAGTCTGGAGTGCAGTGACGCGATATTGGTTCAATGCAAACTTCACTTCCCGGGTTCAAACAATTCTCCTGCCTCAGCCTCCCAAGTAGCTGTGATTACAACTGTGCACCACCACAGCTGGCTAACTTTTTTATATTTTTAGTAGAGATGGCGTTTCACCATGTTGGCCAAGCTGGTCTTGAACTCCTGACCTCAGGTGATCTGCCTGCCTTGGCCTCCCAAAATGCTGGGATTACAGGTGTGAGCCACCACACCAGACCAGAAATTTTCTGCTTTGCATAAGATTTGCTTACATCCATTGGCCAAAGCAAGTCACATGGCTGAGCTCAAAGTCAGAGTAATCGAGTAGCAAAGGTGTGGACACAGTGATGAGTGAAGACTTGGGCTATCATTGCTATCAATCTACTGGAATTAGAGTGAGAGTGTCATTATCAAGAGGATAGTAAATACTACTAGAGCTTAATTTGTTTTACTAAAATAAAAATATTTAACTGTTTATTTTCTAAAACCTGCATATCCTCTGAAGCATGTACAAATCACTTTTGATATTCTTTGTTCTCAAGAGTCTAAGTAATTTTAATGATTTAGTAGATATATTGGTTTATTTTTGCCCCACTAATGATATGTTATTTTTAAAACCACAAATGCAACTTCAAGACATGCTACTAAGCAAAAATTTATAGACCAAATACCCTGGCAACAAGAAGAAACCAAAAAATTAGCAGCATTCTTTTAAAAAAAACAAAGTGAAAAGGCTGGACCACTTTAAGGATAATTTTTCAAAATAATTAGATAGTGTCAAAAAGAAAATCAAAATCTCAACTATAAACTGCTTTTTAAACAACATAATGGAAAATATTATTATACATATAAATACACATCAGATGTGGCTAAGTTTCTACTTCAAATTTACTGCTTTAAAATAACTAAACTATTTGACTTAAGGAATTATAGAAAAGCACATCTAAGAAATGTTTTTAAAATGAAAAAATAAAGGTAACATAAAACACAATATATGTCACTTAATGATGGAATACGTTCTGAGAAATGCATCCTTAGGCAATTTTGTCGTTGTGCAGGCATCATAGAGTGTGCTTACACAAATCTAGATGGGATAGCCTACTGCACACATAGACTATGTAATATAACCTGTTGCTCCTGGGCTACAAGCCTGTATAGCATCAATAGTACCAAATACTGCAGGCTATTATAAAACAATGGTTATGTTACCAGAAAGGGGTCCCAATCCAGACCCCAAGACAGGGTTCTTAAATCTTGCTCAAGAAAGAATTCAAGGTAAGTCCACAGAGTAAAGTGAATGCAAATTCATTAAGAAAGTTAAGGAATGAAAGAATAGCTATTCCATAGACAGAGCAGGACTTTCCCAAAAGTAAGAGGAGGAACGCACTCATCTTAGGCACATGCTTGTTTGTATATAAGATAAAAATCATGGGAAAGTTGTGCTCTACTACAAGGGTTTGTGACAAATGGTTGCTAATCTTTGTGTAACTACTGTCTTTCGCCAAGAGTCTATATTATTATCTTTGAAGCGAAACTGACTCTTAAACTAGGAATGCTTTTGTTCTTAAGATATTGATATTGGGACACAGGACATTTCCTGGGTCTGTCATGTCCTGGGTCTGTCATGTCCTGGGTCTGTTTCTGTTTGCTTAACCGTAAACATGTTGTGACTAAGAATACCTGACCTCCTGGGAATGCGGCCCAGGAGGTCTTAGCCTCATTTAATCAGCCCCTATTCAAGACAGAGTGGCTCTGGTTTGAGCGCCTCTCACAGTTAGTATTTGTATAGCTAAACATACAAAAGGTACAGTAAAAATACAGTTTAATAGATTAAAAATAGTTACCTGTATAGAGAACTTACCATGAATGGAGCCTGCAGGACTAGAAGTTGCTCTGGGTGAGTCAGTGAGTGAATGTGAAGGCCTAGGCCATTGCTGTACACTACTATACGTATTTTCTGAACACTGTACACTTAGGCTAAGCTCAATCTTTAAAATTCTTTCTTCAAAAAGAAATCGACCTTAGCTTACTGTAACTGTACACTATTACACACATTTTGTAAACACTGTACATTTAGGCTAAGCTAAATTTTTAATAGTCTTTCTTCAGTAATAAATTGGCCTTAGCTTGCTCTAGTTTTTTACTTTATGAACTTTAAATTTTTTTAACTTTTTGACCCTTTTGTAATAACACTTAGCTTAAAACGTGCTGTACAAAAATATTTTATTTCTTTACTCCTTATTATATAATCTTTTTTCTATTTACATTTTTTTCTTTTTAAACTTTTTTATTAAAAACTAAGATGAAAACACACACATTAGCCTAGGCCTACACGGAGTCAGGATCATGAATATCATCATTGTCTTGCCCCTCCATGTCTTGTCCCACTGGAAGGTTTTCAGGGGCAGTAACACACTTGGAGCTGTCATCTCCTGTGATAATAATATGTACTGGAATTCCTCTTGAAAGACTGGCCAGAGGCTGCTTTAAAGATAACTTTTTTTTAATAAGTAAAAGGAGTATACTCTAAAATAATGATTAAAAGTATAGTATAGTAAATATATATGGCATTAACAGTGTCATTTATTATCATTATCAATTGTACCTAACTGTACATGCTATACTTTTATAGAACTGGCAGTGAGTAGGTTATTTTTTTTTTTTACACCAGCACTACAACAAACAGTTGAGTAATGCGTTGCACTATGACATTACAATGGCTACAATGTCACTAGGTGATAGGAATTTTTCACCACATTATAATCTTATGGGACCATTACCATATGTTCGGTCCATTGTTGACAGAAGCCTTCTTACTTGGTGTACAACTGTAATTACGGTTGGCCCTCCATACGCACAGGTTCCTCATCTGAAAATTCAACCAACTTCAGATCAAAAACATTAAAAAATAAAAGATAATAATATGATAAAAAAGGATGCAAGCAAAAGCAACACAGTATAACAACCATTTACATTGCATTAGGTATTATAAGCAAGCTAGGAAGGATTTAAAGTACTGCATATGGAAGGATGTGCATAGGTAATACACAAACACCATGCTATTTTATATAAGAGACTTGAGCATCCTCAGATTTGGTATTGGCAGGTAGGTAAGTCCTGAAACCAGTTCCTCAAAGATACTATGGGACAACTGTATTTGCAAAACAGAAAATAGTAAAATTAACAAATAAATTCAAGGGCTGAATTTGAGGGAGAAACAAAAATACAAAATATGCAATGAAAAACAGAAAGAAAGCTCATGTGCATAATATTAGATATAGAAAAGGTCAAATAAAGAAAGAGGCAGAGACTTTTTTTTTTTTTTTTTTTGAGACGTTGTCTCGCTCTGTTGCCCAGGCTGGAGTGCAGTGGCGCAATCCTGGCTCACTGCAAGCTCCGCCTCCCAGGTTCATGCCATTCTTCCGCCTCAGCCTCCCGAGTAGCTGGGACTACAGGCACCCGCCACCACTCCCGGCTAACTTTTTTTTTTTTTTTTTTTTTTTGCATTTTTAGTAGAGAGGAGGTTTCACCGTGTTAACCAGGATGGTCTCAATCTCCTGACCTAGTGATCTGCCCGCCTCGGCCTCCCAAAGTGCTGGGATTACAGGCGTGAGCCACTGCGCCCAGCCTGACATTGTTTTTAAATAGAGAATTATATGATTTAAAAGCCCATCTATATGGATTTCAAAATCCTTTAAAAATGGGAAAATTTTAAAAGCAAATATAAATTATCAAAATAGACCCAAGACTAAATGAGAAAATCTAAAAAGTTTCATCGGTGGGAAAAACCTGAAAATGTTGTTAAAGGATTAAGTCCATAACAGATCACAGGCACAAATAATTTTCCAGGTGAGTTCTTTCAAATCTCTTACAAAGAAATACTTCAACTACTTTTCAAACAGCTGAAAATAGAGTACAAAATAAAGGAAAACCATAAATCAGTTATCTAATACAAATGCAATTATTGGTAGTGTTGAATTCAAAATATATTCAAGTAAATATACAACATGACTATGTAAAGAATAGTCGGCCAGGCGCAGTGGCTCATGCCTGTAATCCCAGCACTTTGGGAGGCCGAGGCGGGCAGATCACGAGGTCAGGAGATCTAGACCATCCTGGCTAACACGGTGAAAATCCGTCTCTACTAAAAATACAACAAAATTAGCCGGGCGCAGTGGTGGGCGCCTGTAGTCCCAGCTACTCGGGAGGCTGAGGCAGGAGAACAGTGTGAATCCAGGAGGTCGAGCTTGCAGTGAGCGGAGATCGCGCCACTGCACTCCAGCTTGGGCGACAGAGCGAGACTCCGTCTCAAAAAAAAAAAAAGAATAGTTCATGAATATAAGGGATGTTTAATATTTGTGAATCTATTAAAATATTGTGGTATATCAATAAGTTATGAAAATAAAAACCAATTTATTCCCCGAACAGAAGCAGGAAAAGCATTTGATTAAATCAACATCCTGTTCATGATAGGGGAAAATACCCTCTTCATAGAAGTAAAAATTAAAACATATTTCTTTTATGTGACAAAAATTATTTACTTCAAGGCAAGACCAGACATTATTCTTCATGATTCAGTTTAGAGGCATTTCCATTAAATGCAGGAGCAAAAAAAGAATGCCTGCCAAGATCCACATTATTTTGCCACTGTTAGAGGAATTTCTTTTTTTTTATTTTCTTAATTGACATATCATTATTGTACATATTTTTGAGGTATATGTGATATTTTGATACATGTATGCAATGTGTGATGATCAAATAAGAATAATTGCCATACCCATCACCTCAAACATTGATCTTTGTGTTAGAGACATTACAATAATTCTCTTTCAGCTACTTTAAAATATATAATAAATTATTGTTAGCTATGATTTTTCTACTATATTACTGAATACTAGAACTTATACCTTCTAACTGCATTTTTATACCCATTAACCAAAAATAGGAGAATACAGTATCACAGATAAATATATACATATAATATTTACTATATGTAAACACATTTCTGTGTAAAATTTCTTATTTTCAAAAAAGAGCTCAGCAAAATGCAATACACCATACACCATGACCTTTTTTTTTTTTTTTTTTTTGAGACAGAGTTTCACTCTTGTTGCCCAGGCTGGAGTGCAATGGCACCATCTCGGCTCACCGCAACCTCTGCCACCCGGGTTCAAGCGATTCTCCTGCCTCAGCCTCCTAAGTGGCTAGGATTACAGGCATGCGCCACCCCGCCCAGGTAATTTTGCATTTTTAGTAGAGATGGGTTATCTCCATGTTGGTCAGGCTGTTCTCAAACTCCCGACCTCAGGTGATCCGCCCGCCTTGGCCTCCCAAAGTGCTGGGATTACAGGCGTGAGCTACCGCGCCAGGCCCCATTACCTTTTTATACACAGAAAAAAACAATAATTTTATGTGAGAAAAAATTATTCATAATCGCAACGAACAATGGAAAACAATTAATATTCAATTAATTACGAAATATGAAGAAATTATGTGAAATTACTAATTTTTTGTAAAGATCAAAGAAAGCTTGAATAACAAACTTATAAATGTATACAGAAAACTAAGTGCAAAATTATTTTGCATTTTAATAGAATTCTAATCAAAATTGCAATGAAGTCTTTGAGGAGCTCACCAAAATAAAGATATTTCATCATAAGAATCAAGAGAGGAACGTACCTACTTTTTTAAAGGCGAGTACTATATACAAGTACATTTCCAGTCACACAAATATGGCACTAATGAAGAATTAAATGACATTAATGAGAGGAAAAATTGACAAACTCAGAAAGCAACTCATGTATTTGTAAATACTGCTTATATAATAAGAGAATAATTTGGGGGCTGGGTGCGATGGCTCACGCCTGTAATCCCAGCACTTTGGGAGGCCGAGGTGGGTGGATCACTTGAGGTCAGGAGTTCGAGACCAGCCTGGCCAACATGGTGAAACCCCCTCTCTACTAAAAATACAAAAATTAGCTGGGCATGGTGGCAGGTGTCTGTAATCCCAGCTACTTGGGAGGCTGAGGCAGGAGAATTGCTTGAACCCAGGAGGCGGAGGTTGCAGTGAGCTGAGATCACACCAATGCACTCCAGCCTGGAGGACAAGAGCGAGACTTCGTCCCAAGGAAAAGAAAGAAGAAGAATTTGGAAGCAGTGTAAAAGTTTTATTTCATAAATAATACTGAAACAATTGTTTAAACATTTACAAATAATATATTAGATCCTCATATCACACATTAAAATATATTGCAAACAACTGACAAGCTAAATCTGAAAAAATAAACCATCAAAGAAAATAGAAACGAATAGCTATTTGACAGAGTAGGGAAGGGCTTTGTAACCATAAGAACAAATGAAGGAATAATAAAGGAAAAGCCTGATTGATTTTACTAGATAAGATTTTTAAACTTCTGAGCACCTAAAAATGACATACGCAGAATTAAAAGACTACTAAAAAAAATAGAAAAAATATGGGTAACCTATCCACCAGATGAAGGCTTAATATATTTCATTTATGAGAGAGAGAACTGCTACATGCTAGTGAACACTCCAATAAACAAATGAGCAAAGGGCATGAATAAGGCAATTTATAAAATAAGAAAATCAATGGAAAATAAACACTACATAAAATAGTCAAGTTCATGCGAAATCAAAGAACGAGAACATAACACAATAATGAAATGGTACACTTCACACATCAAACTGGTAGAGCTGCTTTGTTTTTGCTTTGCTTTGTGTTCTTTGTGCCCAGGTTGGTGAAGCACAGAAAAAGTCCAGCTGTCTCAGATGAGGGTGCATGTTGCTGCTGGCTTTCTGGAGGGCCATCTGGAACCAGAGATCCCGTGTGCTTAACCAGGTTGTGCTCTTTAGGAAATAATTTTAAAGAAATCATTAGAGAAGTGCACAAAGATAGGTGAACAGTGATGTTCATCACAGTGATATGTATAATCCCCCTAAAATTAGCAGCCACCTAATAAGCATCCAACAATTGACATATGCCACATAAGGGACAACAATAAGGGACAGGTCAAAAAATCTGTAGTATATCTATGTGGTAAAATAGCTTTTAAGATCATGAACAGGAGATGATTTAATGAGGCAGAAATTCTCCAAAATATGTTAAATAAATGAAACTGACCCATGTGTCCAGTCTGATCATCTGTTGGTTTCTGAGAGAGGGGAGAGGAAGATGGAGACAGAGGAGACTTAGAAAGTAAGAAAATATGCCATAATTTAATTTTTGGATGAGATGTAGTTTTCTGTATTTCTAGTTTTTACAATGAGAACATATTACATGTATGAATCAGAGGGAAAATAATAAGTTCTCAAATTTTATTCATTCGACATTTTTAAAAGCACAATGTTCTCCAAGGTTATCAACTTAGCAACTCTCCTAAATATTCCGTTGTGTGTTCAGATACATTGACGTTGTCTGTCCAGAATTCCAGAAGCTGACAACAGCCATTTTAGACCCAGCTTTCTTTTGCTCAGATGTAACAGGCAAAGAACATCATGTAACATAATGGCAGGAAAGACGTACACAATGGAAGTTTTGATTTACATTTTGAAAGAGTAACAAAAAAATTCAAGTGGCAAAAAATACCATACACATACCATTTAAAATTTCCCCAATGTCGCACTGCCAATAGGTCTATCATACAGGAGTTAAATGTTCTCTTTAAATCTGTTTAGCAGAATATAATGTTGCAAAGCAAAATAGGTCTACCAGGAAGAGCAGCCATAGACCCAGAGGAGGAGTGCTGCATGCCTGGCCCGTGAGACAGCCTCCGGGAGGCGTGGTAACATGGTGTGGGGAGTTGCACCTTTCACCCAGCTTCCAATTTCAGTTCTAATCTGCTTAGGAACAATTAGTTCTCAGTTATAAGGAAGCAGTTTATCCACAATCAAGGTTTAAACAATTCCTAAGCCTGAAATAGAGAAAGGAAGAGACTTAGAGAAAGAAAAGAGGCCAGAGAGCCGGAAGGCAAAGAGGAAAGTAAAGCAAAGCCTATGACAGATGAAAGGTACTCTGAGTCCCAAGCTATGCTAGCAGCTGATTAGATGGTCCCTACCCAGATTGAGGGTGGGTCTGCATCTCCCAGTTCACTCACTCAAATGTTAATCTCCTTTGGAAACACCCTCACAGACACACCCAGGAACAATACTTTGCATCCTTCAATCCAATCAAGTTGACACTCAGCATTAACCATCACAGATGCATTACCTCCTTGAAACTTCTCAACAGTTCTTAGCAGTCACGAGATGAGTTGAAGGAATGTACTCAAACTCACAAACCAGGAATTAGTGAGCAAGATTTGAATGCAAATCTGTTTGGCCGCAAAGCCCCAGATTATTTAACTGCACTCTTGCTGGGCACCAGCCTATGTGGTGCCCAGCAGTAAGAAGCAGTTCGAACATGATTCTTTGCAGGGAAATGGAGGAAAACAGTACAGCAGGCTCACCCTCTCTCATATTTTTGGCCTGTCCATTTATTCTCCACTTTACTGCAAGAATCTCATTCTCCTAGTTGCCTTATCATTCTCCCCTTGTCTGGATTACTACTCCCTCATCCTTTTCTCTAGATACATTCCTTCTTCAGGCTGTGCATCCTGCTCCCCGCAGCTCAATCTGCAAACTCCCAGAGTCTAGGCCCTTTTCCCTGCACTTCTCTGCCATTCTGTGCATGCTGCCAACAAAATTCTGAGCTGTACAAAGTGTAGAAGCTCTTGTAATGCAGAACGTTTTCAAGAAAAATAAAAATAAAAAGACCTAAGCCCACTTTACAGAATGAACTACATATACAATTCACTAAATGAAGGAGACTAATATATAAATATAGCTATAGCTATAGAGACCATCCACTAAACAGGGCGGGGGGGGGGGCGGGCAATAAGATCCAGTAAATTTAGGAAACGTGATATACTTTATCTCCTCTTCGTCACGCACGACAGCCTATTAAAAGGTTGGACAAGTCCTCCTGTAAAAGGATCATCTTTTAACCCAAATTTCTCTGGGCAAAGAAGCCCTTTGTAGGATATTTCCTAATATTTCATGGGGTACTAGTAACACAGTAATAATCTTAAGAACACGGTGTGAGAAATATTGGTTTTGCTGATGTGCATAATAGTATACATAATAAGTATGCAAAGAGAGGCTGAGGAAGGTGTCTGCCCTGCTAACGTTCTCAACAACCTCTTCTTCAGGTGTCTGGTTGGCCTGCCCCCCGGTCCACCTCCGGGGTGCATCCAACCCCCATCCATGAATGGACAAGGTGGTTTGAATTCTTACAGACATGGATTCAATTTATGACAGAAACAAGTTGGCTCAATTCTCCGGGCATCAGATTTCCTACTGGTCAAATGAGCATAATGATGCCTACATTTATAACATTCTTGCCATGGCTTAGACCACAAGAATACACCCTCACAGATGTACCACCCCCCACCCCTACACACACATTCCTCACTGATCTGTACTACATTGGACTCTCTCCTCTATCAGGGTTGATATACTCATTGCAGACTCTTTGTACTCTGTGTCTAAAATTGCTTCAAGTTTAGCCTTGCAAGCATTAACTTCAGCAAGTGTAAGTCTATTTCTTGAGCTATTTCCATTTTCTATTTGTTAGTGACAGATGCTTGCAATTACTGGAACTTCAGGAACAAGACTTCCTTCCAAACCATTCTGCAAATATATGCAACAGAACACCTTCTCCTTTTGGCTGCTACATTGGGGTGGAGGATTAGGGTTGTTGACGGACCTACCTTCGATATAAAACAACAGCTTCAGAGCTGAATTTTTTTGAAAATCTCCTCCCTACTTGGGATGTCTGTGCACAGTGTGCACAGTGATTGTGTCCTCTGTCCCATTCTCAAACCCTTCTTTTCCTCACCAATTTGTTTGAAAGATGCGTCTCCAGCTTCACTGGGTTTGTTGTGTCATCCTTCTGAGACCAAGCGCTCCTGGTATACCTGCCCCATCTCACAACAACCTAGGCAGTGGTGACTTAGCTTGCAAAGTATAGTAACTCATTTGCAACGCAGATCCAAAGAGTCACCCTTTGATCTTGGAGAAGACAACATTGGATGTAATTACCCAAAGGGACTAGAACTTGGAAAAACAATCACATTTTTCTTGTTACTTAGAACAAATGAGACCTCACCTGGCTTTCCTGTGATCTCCAAGTGCCAGCATTTTCTTTCCTGCATAAATACAAAGCCTCTAAGCTCACCACCACATGCCATTCTTGCTCTGGCCTAGAAAAACACCCATCCCAGATATAAGACTAATGTTTTAAAACTCCAAACAGGGCCGGGCGCGGTGGCTCACGCCTGTAATCCCAGCACTTTGGGAGGCCGAGGCGGGTGGATCATGAGGTCAGGAGATCGAGACCATCCTGGCTAACAAGGTGAAACCCCGTCTCTACTAAAAATACGAAAAATTAGCCGGGCGCGGTGGCGGGCGCCTGTAGTCCCAGCTACTCGGGAGGCTGAGGCAGGAGAATGGCGTGAACCCGGGAAGCGGAGCTTGCAGTGAGCCGAGATTGCGCCACTGCAGTCCGCAGTCCGGCCTGGGCGACAGAGCGAGACTCCGTCTCAAAAAAAAAAAAAAAACTCCAAACAGAAGGACAGCAGGAGGCCTGGGGTTATGCGGGTACCTGCTTGAATGAGCCCTGGGGCTTTGCCTTCCAGCTTAGGCCTGCAGGGTTGACAGTTTACTGCAAAACCAAACTGAAAGCATCTCCCTTGAGAACTTTGAGCCTCTGAGTAGTAGCAGTGAAGTAGTGTCCGCTTGGGATACAGAGACTGAGATGAAAATGCCTGCCCCACTATTTATTGTCTGTAGGATTCTGGCTCTAAATAGGAGTGTATTTGAAAATGGCTGGCTTCTTCTCTGTTTGAAATCATTCACAGGTGATGCAACACCTTCAGCCACCAACCACCACAGAAGGTGCCTATAAGACCATCATAAGAGGAGTCCTTGTCAAAACGAGATTTAATCTCTCCTTGGTGTAGGAGAGACCTGGAACGGCAGAGCGTGTGTCCTCCTACAGGGAGTGGACTCAACCTCCCCAGGTATTTCTTCAAGGGTTCCTTTTTTCCACTTGGAGGGATACGCAGACTGAGGAGGAGAACAGGAAGAACAAGGTCTAGGTGAGAGCTGTTCCTCTCTAGCCAGGCACTGCATATGAAAATGAAGGCTCTGAAAACAGAAGCCCTCATTAGAAGCAGCTTCTGAATTATTTTCTTTAAGCTCCAACATGATTTCAATCCATTTCTTTGTTCCCATTCTTACCATCTAATCTGGAGTCTCATCAGTTCTCTCCTGAACTCTAAAGTAGTTCCTTAACTCCAGCCACTCTTCTCTCCAGGGCTCCAGCCTGCTGCTCTCCAAGGTGACCTTTCAAAATCAGAAACCTGGTCATGCTAACGCTGTGTTACAGACCCCACCATCTCTTACAGTCTTCCCAAAGCCTACCCACCCTGGTCTCTTTGCTGGTTTCTCTTGCTGTGTCCCTTAATCCATGTTCCACACAACAGTCAAAATAATCAGTTGAAAACCCTAAATTAGGTCATGTCTTTTTTTCCAGCTTAAACACCATCACTCTAAGAATTGAGATCATGGGGCCCTGTATAATCCCCTTTCCTGCTGCTCTGCAGATGCTCAGCCCATTCAGCAAACTGTCCCCTGTACTCCAGCCACCCACATCATCTTTTTATTCATGTGACCCACTCAGTTAATTCCAACCTTTGCTTTATTTCCTCGTGCTGAAATCTACCTCCCCAGATCCTGTGTAGCTGGTTCTTTCTCTCCACTATCACTCCTGCAGAGGCCTTCCTTGACCACCCTAAGATTAGCCACAGCCAGAGAATTGATATAATTATTGTATTTCTCTCTCCACTAGATGTAAACTGCACAAGAGTAGAAACATACTTTTCTTGTCTTATTCACCCCTCTATTCCCAACTCTGGGGCTAGTACTAGGCATACTCAGTTAAGATTTGTTGAATAAATGGATGGATGGATGGATAGATGGATGGATGGATGGATGGATGGATGGATGGATGGATGGGTGGATGGATGGATGGGTAGATGGATAGATGGGTGGAGGGATAAATCATCATTTCTCTGATCAAAACCAGTCAGTGACTTGCACCGGGATGAAGTTCACACTCTACCATAGCAGGCAAAGCCCCCCTACATCCGCCCTGCCTACCTTGCTAGCCTTATCTCTAAACCCTCTATAATTCCAGGCTTCTAGTATTTAGAAAACTATACGTCAAGGTTGAGAATAAGCCAAAAGACTTCCAGTGCCTTTCAGTGTCTCCTTAGCACACTGTTTAGCAAACCTACCTAAAGATCACCTGATGTTCTAGTGGGGGAGTAATTTTGTTTGGCTTACTATTCACTACTCATAAGACTAGGACTCTGTCAAAGTAAATGTTAACTTTAAAATACTGGTAAGTTTTAAATGCATAGAGATCTATAAGAATTTCCACAATAATTGTTATAGTTTGTATTAGGCCATTCTTGCATTGCTATAAAGAAATACCTGAGACTGGGTAACGTATAAGAAAAGAGATTTAATTGGCTCATGGTTCTGCAGGCTGTACAGAAAGCAGAGTTCCAGCATCTGCTTCTGGGGAGGCTGCAGGAAGCTTCCAGTCATGGCAGAAGGCAAAGGAGGAGCAGGCATTTCACATGGTGGGAGCAAGAGCAAGGGGAAGGGAGGTGCCACACACTTTTAAACAACCAGATCTCACAAGAACTCACTCACTATTACCAGAACAACACCATGGGGATGGTGCCAAGCCATTCAGGAGAAATCTATCCCCATGATCTCATCACCTCCCACCAGCCCCCACCACCAATACTGGGGATTACAATTCAACATGAGATTTGGGCACAAACAAATATACAAAATATATCATTCCAGCCCTGGCCCTTCCCCAAGTCTCGTATGCTTCTCACATTTCAAAATACAAGCATCCCTTTTTGATATCCCCCCACCAAAGTCTTAACTCTTTCCAGCATTAATTCCAAAGTCCCAAGTCCAGGCCGGGAGCGGTGGCCCACACCTGTAATCCCAGCACTTTGGGAGGCTGAGACGGGCGGATCATGAGGTCAGGAGATCGAGACCATCCTGGCTAACACGGTGAAACCCCGTCTCTACTGAAAACACAAAAAGAAAAAAAATTAGCCAGGCGTGGTGGTGGGCGCCTGTAGTCCCAGCTACTCGGGAGGCTGAGGCAGGAGAATGGCATGAACCCGGGAGGCAGAGCTTGCAGTGAGCCGAGATCGTGCCACTGCACTCCAGCCTGGGCGACAGAGCGAGACGCTGTCAAAAAAAAAAAAAAAAAAAGTCCCAAGTCCAAAGTCTCATTTGAGACAAGACACGTCCCTTCCACCTATGAGCCTGTAAAATCAAACAAGTTATTTACTCCCAAGATACAATGGAGGTATAGTCATTGGGCAAACATTCCCATTCCAAAAGGGAGAAATTGGCCAAAAGAAAGGGGCTATGAGTTTCATGCAATTTTGGAACCCAGGAGGGCAGTCATTAAATCTTAAAGCTCCAAAATAATCTCCTTTGACTTTATGTCTCACATCCAGGGCACAGAGGTGCAAGGGGTGGGTTCCCAAGGCTTTGGGCAGCTCTACCCCTGTGGCTTTTCCACACTGAGGTTGCAAACTGATGGTGGCTCTACCATTCTGGGTTCTGGAGAGTGGCAGCTCTCTTTCCACAGATCCAGTAGGCAGTACCCCATTGGGGACTCTGTGCAGGGGTTCCAACTCCACATTTCCCCTTGGCACTGCCCTAGTAGAGGTTTTCTCTGAGGGCTTTGCCCCTGCAGTGAGCTTCTGCCCGGGCACACAGGCTGTCTCATACATCCTCTGAAATCTAGGTGCAGGCTGCCAAGCCTTCACTTTTGCACTCTGCACAACCACAGGTTTGATACCACGTGGAAACCACTAAGGCTTATGGCTTGCATTCTCCAAGGTGGCAGCTTAAGCTGTACCTGGGCTTCTTTGAGCCCTGGCTGGAGCTGAAGCAGCTTGGATGTGGGAAGCGGTGTTCCAAGGCTGTAAGGCTGTGCAGGGTAGCAGGGCCCTGGGAATGGCCCACAAAATCATGATTCCCTCCTAGGCCTCTGCACCTGTGATGGGAGGAGCTGCTGTGAAGGTCTTTAAAATGCCTTCAAGGCTCTTTCCCAAAATCTAGAGAGAAAGCTATAAAAATCAGGGAGGTGTGTATATCGTGTGTGTGTGCATGCATGTGGATGTGTTTTGGGGTGTGTCAGGAAAGGCTTCCTAAGGAGTTGACATTATAGTTTAGCTGAAAGAGATAAACAGAAGATAACTTGGAGGAGAATAGGTTTGGGGACAGGTAGTGAGGCTAGAGGGTGATATAGGGAAGGGCTATGTTGTACCAGCAAATGGGGAAAACACTGCAGACTTGTGAGAATGTGGAACAGTTGCGTAAGTGTTAGTAATTCAGTGTCAATGATAATATCCAAAAATTTGTAGTGAGCATGTGTCGAAGATTAATTTAACACATTACAGAGGGAACCGGCAGAATGGTAAAGCTGGTTCAAAGGAGAATATGAGAGCTAAAAGCATGTGATTAATAAAAAAAAAAGAATGCTGAAATAAGATTGGTACATTAGATATCAAATTTGTTAATATTCCACATGGCAATAAAACTATAATATAGTTTGCCACCACTTGCTAGAAATATATGTGTAACTGAAAGGGAGCCAAGTGCCTTAGCACTTGAACTCTTCCCCCTGAAAATAGGTTTTTTTTTTTTACCACATGTCCAGGCTGCAAATTTTCCAAACTTATAATAATTAATTAATTAATTGATACATTCTGCTTTCCTTTTAAATATAAGTTCCAAATCTAAGCCATTTTTTGCTCCTATATCTGAGTTTAGGCTGTTAGAAGCAGCCAGGCCACATCTTGACTGCTTTACTACTTAAAAATTTCTTCTGCCACATATCCTAAATCATCACTCTGAAGCTCAAACTTTCACAGATCCCTAGGGCATGAACACAATGCAGCCAATCTCTTTGCTAAGGCATAATATGTGTGACCTTTGCTCTAGTTCCTGATACGTTCCTCATGTCCATCTGAGACCTCAGTATCCTGGACTTTGTTATCCATATCACTGTCAGCATTTTGGTTACGACCATTTAATCAGTCTCTAAAAAGTTCCAAATTTTCCCTCATCTTCCTGTCTTCTGAGCCCTCCAAAATCCTCTAACATTTGCTTGTTACCAAGTTGCAAAGTCACTTCAACATTTTTATGTATCTTTATAGCAGTGCCCCACTCCTCAGTACCAATTTTCTGTATTAGGCTATTCTGGCATTTCTATAAATAAACACCTGAGACTGGGTAATTTACAAGAAAAGAGGTTTAATTGGCTCATGATTCTGCAGGCTGTACATAAAGCACAGCTCTAGCATCTGGTTATGGGGAGGCCTCAGGAAGTTTCCAATCGTAGAAGAAGGCAAAGGGGGAGCAGGCACCTCAAATGGCAGGAGTAGGAGCAAGGGAGGAGCAAGGGATAGGGCAAGGTGCCACACACTTTTTTTTTTTTTTTTGAGATGGAGTTTTGCTCTTGTTGCTCAAGCTGGAGTGCAATGGCGTGATCTCAGCTCACCACAACCTCCGCTTCCTGAGTTCAAGCGATTCTCCTGCCTCAGCCTCCTGAGTAGCTGGGATTACAGGTGCCCGCCACTATGCCCAGCTAATTTTTTGTATTTTTAGTAGAAACGGGGTTTCATCATGTTAGCCAGGCTGGTCTCAAACTCCTGACCTCAGGTGATCCACCCACCTCAGCCTCCCAAAGTGCTGGGATTACAGGCATGAGCAACCGTGCCTGGCAGCCACGTGCTTTTAAGCAACCATATCTCGAGAGAACTCACTCTGTATCTTCAGGACAACACCAAGGGGATGACGCTAAGCCATTCATGAGAAATCCACCCCCATGATCCCATCACCTCCCATCAGGCTCCATCTCCAATACTGGGGATTATAATTCAACATGAGATTTTGGAGGGAACAAATATACAAACTATAGCATAGTTTTATTGCCATGTGGAATATTAACCAGTTTGATATCTAATGTACCAGTCTTATTTCAGCATCTTTTCTTTTATTGATCACATGCTTTCAGCTCTCATATTCTTCTTTGAACCAGCTTTACCATTCTGCCTGTTCCCTCTTTAATGTGTTAAATTAATCTTCGACACATGCTCACTATAAATTTTTGGATATTATCATTGACACTGAATTACTAACACTCATGCAACTGTTCCACATTCTCACAAGTCTGCAGTGTTTTCCCCATTTGCTGGTACAACATAGCCCTTCCTAATCTCACCCTCTAACCTCACCAGCTGTCCCCAAACCTATTCCCCTCCAAGTTATCTTCTGTTTATCTCTTTCAGCTAAACTATAATGTCAACTCCTTAGGAAGCCTTTCCTGACACACCCCAAAACACATCCACATGCATGCACACAAACACACACACACACACACAAACATACACACCTCCCTGATTTTATAGCTTTCTCCCTAGATTTTGGAGCCTAAACAGAAAAAAAAAAAAATGATAAGAGAGGGCATGTCCACCAGGCATGTGCAAAGGCTTGAAGAAGGGTAAGGGACCTTCACCTGTGAAGGGAATCACCCAGCTTCTCCTAGGGCACTAGGGATTTGGCAGAAACAGAAGGATTTCTGTTTCCAAGCATCCAAGTGCATGCTTGTTTTAGTCTGTACCTTCTGCTATAAAAAAAAAAAAAATCTGGGACTGGATGATTTATAAATAACAGAAATTTATATTCTCACAGTTTTGGAGATTTAGAAGTCCAAGATCAAGTCACCAGCAGATTCTGTGCCTGGTAAGCGCTTCTCTCTGCTTCCAGGATGGCATCCGTTGCTGCGCCTTCTCATGGTAGAAAGGATAGAAGGGCAAAAGGGGCTAAATGCAGTGTGAATCTCTTTTACTGACATTTTAATTCCATTCTTGAGGGCTCCACACTGACGATTTAATCATTTCCTGAAGGCCCCACCTCTTAATACTATCAGGTTGGCAATTATGTTTCAACAAGTGAATTTGGCAGACAAACTCAGACCACAGCATTCTTCTCCTGGCCCCCAAAATTCATGTCCTTCTCACATGCAAAGCACCTTTATTCCATCTCTTATCCCCTCAAAGTCTTAACTCATTCCAGCACCAAATCAGAGTCTAAGGACCATAGTTTCATCTAAATAAATATAGGTGATACTCAAGTGATGGATCATCCTGAGGCAAATTCCCCCTCCAACTGGGAGCCTGTGAAATCAAACAAGTTATATGCTTCCAAAACACAATGGCAAGTCAGGCATAAGATAGGCATTCCCTTTCCAAAAGGAAGACATAGGAAAGAAGGAAGGGGTAACCGGTTGCAAGTCTAAAACTCAACAAGGCAAACAATATTAAATCTTGAGGCTTGAGAACAGTCTCATTAGACTCCATGTCCTGTCTTCTGGACACACTGGGGCAGGGGCTCAGCCCCCAAAGTTTCAGGGAGCCCTACCCTCATGGCTTTGCTAGGTGTCACCTATACAGCAGCTCTCAGAGTTTGGGCCAGGTGCCTGCAGCTCTCCCAGGGTGGTGTTGCACACTGGCGGCTCTTTGTAAGTCTTTGTAGAACCCACTGTAGCAGTGACTCCAATCCCACAGCTCCACTAAGCATTGTCCTAGCTCTCTGTGGTGGCTCTGCTCTGTAGCAGTTCACTGCCAGGGCTCTGAGGCTCTCCAAGGCATCTTTTGAAATCTAGATAGAGGCAGCCATGCTCTCACAGCTCTTATTTTCTGTACATATGCACATGTATGTCACCAAGGCTTACTGTCTTGTGCCCTCTGGAACAGTGGCTCAAGCCCCACATGGGCCTACTTGAGCCACTGTTGGGGTGGCCAAGAAGCACTGCATTCAAATACAAGTAGCAGAGACTTGAGGCAGCCCTGGGCAGTGAGCCCTGAAGCCTCACACCTCTGGACCCCTCTCTTGAAACTATTCTGCCCTCAAGGCCCTGGTACTCCAGGCCTGTGATGGAAGTGGCAGCCTGGAAGAGCTCTGAAACGTATTTTGGATCACTCTTCCATTGTCTTGATGAATAGCATCTGGCTTTCTTCTATCCATGCTAATGACTTTATCAAACATTCACTTGGCCACACCCTTGGTATTCTTTCCTGAACAATCTTTTAAATCATTAGGTTGGTGCAAAAGTAATTGCAGTTTTGCCATTATAAAACCAGGCTAAGAATACCAAATCTTTAAGTTCTCTTTCCCTTTTGATGATTATAAATTTTTCCTTTAATTCATTTTTCTTTTATTTTTCCTTTTACATAGCCAGGCTGAGAATTTTCCAAATCTTTAAGTTCTCCTTCCCTTTTGACTATAAATTCTTCGTTTAATTCATTTTTCTTTTCTCAGATTTTACTATAAGCAGTCAAGAGAAGCCATGCTGCACCTTCAACACTTTGCTTAGAGATTTCTTCCACCAAATAACCTATTTTATTGCTCTTAAATTTTGTCTTCCACAAGGTACTAGTACATGGACACAAGTTAGCTAAGTTATTTGCCACTTTTTAACAAGGATAGCCTTTCCTCCAGTTTTCAGCAAGGCATTCCTCACTTTCATCTAAGACCTCATTAGAATGGCCTTTACTGTGCATATTTCTACCAGCATCTGGATCACAACAACTCAGATAGTTTCTAAGAAGACAAGGCTCTCTCTGTGGCTCTTTTCATCTCCCAAGCCCTCACCAGAAGCACCCTTGACGCTTCATCCACAGCAAATCTAGACTTTTATTAGCATGCACCTCTAAACTCTTCCAGCCTCTAACCAGTTTCAAACCTGCATCTACATTTTCAGGTCAGCTATTTGTTATAGCAATGTCATGCTTCCTGGTACCAATTTCTGAGTTCATTTATGCTGCTATTTTTTTCCACAGAGGTAATATGGTTATATTACTCAGCATAGCAGAGTAGTCAAGTGCACAGCCTCTGGAGATGTACTCCCCAGGTTCAAATCCTGGCTCTGCTGCTTGCTAGCTGTGTACCTTGAGCAACTTTCTCTGAGCCACATTTTTCCCTGCTGTAAAATGGGAGTAACAATCATTGTAAATCTGTCCTTATAGGCTGCTAAAAGAATCAAATGGATTAAAATATAACTAAAGTGCTTAGAAGAATAACTGGCATGTAAGCAAGTGACATATGAGTACTACCATGGTACTGATGTATTTATTCCAGCCTCACAAGCTTGTTAGAGTCACCTCTTCCCCAAGTCAGCTACAGCTGTGCAGATGAGACCTGGGACACTGGGAATCTAACTATGTGAATAGGAATTATTATAGCAGCAGCAGAAATAAGTCCATATGTTCATATTTCAAATATATTGTAAACAACTGGGGAACTTGAGTGCTTAACACAGTACCTGGAAAGTAAGCACTCCTTCCCTCTGCCATATCTTTTCTACCCATTCCCAATCCCAACTTTAACCTTATAGTCAAGTTACATTTTGGATGCTTTCAATGTTTTTGTATAACATTGAATCAAAGGGAAGGGTCTGTTTCAGATCATTATTCATCTTTTCATTACTGTCATATATTTTATTGATTTTTCATTGAAATGTTTTTTCAACATTTTAAAATGAGGCTTTGGCTTCAGCAGATCCCAGATCCTGACATCTGGTGAATTACAAACAATTGTGTAGGTTTGTTTTTAATTTTAATTTCAAAAAATCAATAAGTCATTGTGATGTCTTTAGAAGATATTAAATAATACAATCAATTTGGAATTTATTATAAAGATGCTCTTTTCAACAGTGTCTATGCAAAATCAGAATATTTGTGAAGCCTTAAGGTGCTTGGCTTTCTGGAATGGCATTAAGATCCAGAATAGAATGACTATAATCCCAGCACTTTGGGAGGCCGAGGAGGGCAGATCACCTGAGGTCAGGAGTCTGAGACCTGCCTGAGCAACATGGAGAAACCCCATCTCTACTAATAATACAAAAATTAGCCGGGCGTGGTGGTGCATGCCTGTAATCCTGGCTACTCAGGAGGCTGAGGCACGAGAATCATTTGAACCCGGGAGGCAGAGGTTGCGGTGAGCCAAGATCGCACCATTGCACTCCAGCCTGGGCAACAAGAGTGAAACTCCATCTCAAAAAAAAAAAAAAAAAAAGATCCAGAATAGAATCAAGAGGGCCTACGGAGAGCATCCAGGACAGAAAAAGTTTTGCTAAGAACAAGTTCAAGGAAAATTAACATATTTACTGGAAATTACTTTTTTCCATTCAAAATTTTTTTTAAAAATTGCTTTTAAAGTAATCCGAATTTCATCTGCTACTGAATGAATAGCAGAACATCCATGAGAACACTGATGCTGGTTTTGGCCACTAACAGATTTGCAACTAGGTCATGTGCGAAGATACAGGGTGAAGACGGCTTTGTAACCATTCACCTGGAAATAGATTAGAGGCCACATGCAGAAGCCACAGCCTTGGGGATCAGGTAGCTCACTGCTAATCCAGGTAGCCCATCTAGGGGAAAATGCGGCTTGGAGACTTGGAGAATCATGTGCCTTTCCTGAGTTTTTAATCCTTCATGGGGCAGAGTCAGGACAGACCCAGCCCTTCTGATTTCCTGCTCAACACCCTTCTGACATTCCAAGCTAGAAGTGAGAACTCAGAAATTCTGTCATTCTGTCATCCACCACCAGTAGGGGTGCTGCTCCTGGCGGTGCCCTTGGACTTGCTGACTGGAGGTCAGAGCTGAGAATGGCAGTCCCCCAGTTCCCCCAAGAAAGACACGTTGCCTCTGTACCTTGACAAGACCCATGATCAGCAACGAATTCACTGGCCACCTACTCTGTTGGCTGTTGGATTTGAAGACAGGGCAAAAGATAACACACAGACACACATATTTTGTTTAAATTGGGCTTTGCCCAACTCACAGAATTACCTAGGCAAGGCATAAGAGCCACAGCCCTGGCTGTTCCTCTGTGGCTGAGACAACACTGACATCTTGTGGTCTTGAATTCAGCCAGCCCTAAGCGTCACAGGCCAGAGTCTACCCAGCCCTGCCAGGAGGAGCTTTTCCCAGCCCTACAAATGGGAATGGATCCATTCTGTGTGGACTCTGCCTGCAGGGGGCTCATGGTTTAGCAGGACACCCAAGTAACCAACCATGTGCACACACTGGGTGACACAGACAGCGCCTGGCATCTGACCAGCCGCACACACACACTCAACCCAGACAGCAAATACTCAGCGTGCAACACTGCGGGCAGCTCCAGAACTGGCGTTAAATAAGAAGCATGCAGACAATTACAATACAGTGAGAAAGGTGCCGATTAAGGTATGAATAACAGCTGTGGGAACACACAAGCAGAGTGGACAGACAGCCAGAGGATACGGTAAGCCTTCAGAAATGACATAAGATCAGGAACACAAAAGATACTGTGGAGTAATCAAGGAAGCAAGGTGCGGAATGATTAAGTCAGAATTTCCCAGCGTCACAGAATAGATTCAGTTTAGAGGTGGAGTGCTAAGCCCCGGGAGATGGCTTCTACAGCATGAGAGGGGATCGACAGGGTTCATTTGGGGAGAAGCAAGAGTGCGAGTGAGAGACACAGAGAGGGAAAGCGTAAAAGACAAGTCTGTAAAGATAGACAGCCTTGAATGCTAGAATAAAGCGTTCACGTTATTCAATTGCTGAAAGTCACGTTATAACGCTGTATTTAAGAAGAAATGATCTGGCAAAGATAAAGCATGAACTATAAGCACAAGACAAAGACTGGAAAGATGCTCCCCCTCGTGTCAGCAGGGGCTGTCCCTAGGAAAGAGGACTATAATGCTTATTCCTGTCATTTTTCTTTTTTTTTCTATTGTTACATATTTTAATACTTTGGTAATGAAAGAAATGACGATCAAGCTATTGCCATATGAAGCAGATGGATGATAAGAGTGGGAGCCTGGCCACTCGCATAGTCATGGTCAGTTTCCTTCAGGAGGAAGCTCCTTCCCAAAAGCAGACAGGACAACAGGGCTATGTGAGACTCCGGATCAGAATCTCAGCATCTGTCTAACTGGGAGGACCCTTAGGTATCTACTCAACCCCCTGCTGCAGACAAGGGCTGGGGCTCTTGGAGAGGAAGTGGCTCCCCCCGGGACACACAGCCCTTCCTAGACCTCAGGATTCAGGCTCAGCTCCTGATTCCCTCTCAGGGCCCCCTCCTCTTCCCTTCCCACCGCTGCTCACCTCCTCTCATTATCTGTATAGCCAGAAGCCACCACAGCATGGCCAGGACCCAGAGCTTCACGAGGGCCCTCAGGTAGCAGCCAAGCCAGGGCTGCAGCAGCACGTCTGCCTTTCCACAGGTCAAGGCTAAGACATACTGTAAAGCTCCACCTGAAAAAGAAAGCAATGAAATACCAGGACCTGGCAGGGCACGGTGGCTTACACCTGTAATCCCAGCACTTTGGGAGGCCGAGGTGGATGGATCACCTGAGGTCGGGAGTTCGAGACCAGCCTGACCAACATGGAGAAACCCCGTCTCTACTAAAAACACAAAATTAGCCAGGTGTGGTGGCGCAAGCCTGTAATTCCGGCTACTTGGGAGGCTGAGGCAGGAGAATCGCTTGAACCTGGGAGGCAGAGGTTGTGGTGAGCCGAGATTGCGCCATTGCACTCCAGCCTGGGCAATAAGAGTGAAATTCTGTCTCAAAAAAAAAAAAAAAAATACCAGGACTTATTTTTTAAAAATGTAAGGACCGGGCACAGTGACTCACACCTGTAATACCAGCACTCTGGGAGGCCAAGGCAGGTGGGTCACCTGAGGTCAGGAATTCAAGACCAGCCTGGCCAACATGGTGAAACCCCCGTCTCTAATAAAAATACAAAAAATTATCTGGGCATGGTGGTGGGCACCTGTAATCCCAGCTACTCAGGAGGCTGAGGCAGGAGAATCGCTTGAACCCAGGAAGTGTAGGTTGTGGTGAAACGAGATCTCACCATTGCACTCCAGCCTAAGCAACAAGAGTAAAACTCCATCTCAAAAAAAAAAAAATTAAATTCTTGAGTACACATGCAGGATGTGCAGGTTTGTTACATAGGTAAATGCGTGTCATGGTGGTTTGCTGCACCTATCAACCCATCACCTAGGTATTAAGCCCAGCATGCATTAGCTATTTTTCCTAATGCTCTCCCTCCCCACACCCCACCTGCCGACAGGCCCCAGCATGTGTTGTTCCCGTCCTTGTGTCCATGTGTTCTCATTGTTCAGCTCCCACTTATAAGTGAGAACTTCCAAATACCAGAACTTTTATGTTATTTCAGCCAGTGGTTCTCAAAGTGTGTTTCAGAAACCCATGGAAGTACCCATGACCCTTCCATGGAGTCTGTAAACGCAAACTATTTGCATAAAAATACTAAGTACAATCTAGCTTCTTCATTCTCATTCTTGCATAAGCCTAGAGAGGGGTTTCCAGAGGCAACTTGCATGGAATATCACAACAGATTGAATGCAAACAGATTGACAGCGGCACCTGAAATAATTGTTGGAGGATGAAAAGGTAGGCTCAAACTTTATTGAATCTATTCAATTGAATGCAAAGATGGAAATGAAAACCTGTCTTCTGTTAAGCCAGACATTTGTAAAAGTTGAAAAAAATATAAAACAATGCTATTCTTCTCAATAATCTTTTGAAGTAGAATATAGTTATTTGAAATATTATCGTATGTACAAGTATTATGCTATTTTATTTTTTAATTCATAAATATATTTGAAAAATTTCAGTTCTAGTTTATAATATGGTAAATATTGATAGATACAACCCACATAAATAAAAACTCTTTGGAGCTCCAAAAATTTTTTTAAGTGCCAAGAGACCAAAACTTTTAAGAACCACTAATTCTACTTTCTAGCCTATCACCCTACCTCCTTCCCATTCCCTGCCGTTGTCTGAACCTGCCAGATCCCCCACCTTCAAGGGGCAGATCTCCTTTCTTACCATCTTACTCTCACAGGACACCTGGCATGATATTTCCTACTTATGGGTCCATATATCTATCTTTCTTTCCTCCTTCCTCTCTCCTGTCCTCTTTCCCTACTTCCCCAGGCTGTGTCCTTGGTCCCAGGCATGCCTGAGCTGGCAGAATCCTGGGCACAAAACATTTCTTCCCTCTCTTCTGCTTTCCTTCCACCTGTCGAGCCTTGAATCTGGCTCCTATAAGACACCTGTCTTTCTTCTAAGGGCTACTAAAACAGCACTTCTCCCCAGAAATTGGCCCCCAAACCTCTTTAAAAGGATCACAGACCGAGGAACCTGATGGAATGGAATTTGCCCCTGCCCTTTCAGCATTCAGTAATCATTTCAGGAGCCCTAATTCTGTGTCAGATGCTGGGGATCCAAAGATGAGTAAGAGATATCCCTTCAATCTGCTCACAGGTTCCTAGGGAAATGAAGAAGGAACCAATAGTTCTGTCTAGGGAAGGCAGGAGATGCTTCACAGAAGACATGACACTTGTGGATCAGACAAGATGGAGAGGAGTTTTCTGATGAAGAACTGAAGATAATTTTCCTAGTGAGGAAAGAATGCTTTCAAAGGCACACAGAGGCGAAATTTCATGTCATATCTAGGGAACTGACTAGATCAATGAGGGCGTGGGCACATATATGCATGTGTGTGCATGCACATATGTAAGTTTGCATGTGATGTACACACATGTGCACATTTGTGTGAGCCTATGAATGCATGTTTGCACCTATGCATGTGTGTGCTTGTGTATGTGCCTGTGTGCATGCATGCCTGTGTATGCATTTGTTGAGGGCATAAATGTGTCTGTGTGCCTGCATGTAACTTTGCATGTGTGTGTGCATGCATGCGTGTAACTCTGCATGTGGGTGTGTACATGTTTGCATGTGTGTGAGCGTGAGCCTAGGAATGCATGCTGCGTCTGTGCATGTGTGTGCCTGTGCATGCACCTGTGTGTATGTATGCCTGTGTATGGATGTGTATGTGTGTTTGCATGCCTAGGTATGCATACATTGAGTGCATATGTGCCTGTGTGCATAAGTGTGTGAAAGCTTAGTGCTGACAGACTGCGAATGCATCTTGAGCAGAGAGAGGAGGAAATGGGAGGAAAGGGAATTCTCCTAGACATGTTACATATGTAGTCTTACTTTGTCCTCACAACAACCTTACTACGTGGGTGGCATTGTACCCATTCTATAATAAGGATAAGTGAATTGCTCAAGGACCTAACAGTTATAGGTGATGAAGCTATAATTCAGGCCACACCTCTAACTAGTCCCCACCCACAGGGACCTGAGATTGGGGTACTTTGAAGTCTGGAAGCCCAGCTCTTTCCATGTGTCCCCCTCTCAGGTGGAATCTGGCTGAATTCCTGAATGCCTGACATTTCACTGGGAGAACTCCAGTGGATGGTGTGTTCATTTTCCAGATAATCCCTCTAGTGTGTGCCAGGGCAACCCAGCTCCTCTGCCACCAGGCAGAAGCTAGTACATTTTTCAAAGCTTTTTCTGCAATTCAGAGAGCCAACAGCAAAACACAAAACCATAATTTCAGTCTTTGAAAATGGCCAGTTGGAAAATGAAATGGGAGGTCATGGGTTTGAGGAAATTGGGAAAAACCATCAAATGCTCTCCCTGCTCAACAAAGCAGCTGAGAGCTTGAGTTAGCTCTGCAGAGAAATGACCAGACGAGGTCAGGTACTGCCAAGCTCACTGACTTGGCCTTTCCTGGCCTTCCTCCTCTGTTAAATTTGGTCCATGAAACAGCAGTGATTCCAAACAAGCTTGTTCATGCATCATTTCAGCTAAGTCAAAAAGGAGCACTCCTCATTCTAACAGATATTAGGACCTATTTTCTGTGCTAAACACTGTTCTGAGGCCTTTCTATATTCTCTCACATAAGTTACATCTGTTTTCCAGGGCTTACACCATATTTTCTATATTCTATTTATATAGGATGAAATTATACCATACAGCACATATTACATATTTAGTGTATTTTTAGTTATATATTTAAACACTTCCATGTTGCCTATGATATACTTTATGTTTTTAGCACAATCCTTTGAGTCAATTATTTATCACCCCATTTTTTAGACTAAAAAACTGAAGCCCAGCAGGCTAGAATAACTTGCTTTAAGTCCTGCAACCAGTAAAACTGACAAACAGAATGCAAACCTACATCCTCCTGTAACCCAGATTTGTACCTTTTCTTCTGTGTCAGCTCTTTCATCTGGTTTCATTCTTAGTCACAGTCAGGGCATAACCAGATGCTGTGGGATCCTGGGCCACCTCCGGGCACCCTCCTGAATCAGCGTGGTCCTGACCACCACCACCCTTTCTTCATGTCCCAAGGGTGGTTGCGTTGCTGTGAACATACTTAAAATCCCGGCCTAAAACTGTTCAGCAAATTGTGACTTGCTCAGAAATAGAATATTACAAAACCCTTAAAAATTATATTTCATGGCCACAGAAATAAATGCTTATATGTAAAACAAACAACAATAACAAAGGACACAATGTGGTCATCATAACATGAGATCAACATTGTGAAGAAATTCACAGAAAAAAGCCAGAAAGGAAAATCCAATTGCTTAATTAGGGGTTATTCCTGGATGAGGGGCTGATGGGTGCCTTTTCTTCTTCTTTTGACTTTTCAGTATTTCACAACTTTTCCACGATAGACATGCATCGCTTTACAATGAGGGGCAAAAATATTTAAAACCTGAGCGTGGCTTGAAAACTGCTCACACTGCCCAGTTTCATGCACACTTCAAAGGGCATGGGGCTGGAGCAAGTCTCCCTTCCACAGAGCTGGCTGGAGCCTCACAGCAAGAGGGAGTGCACCTGGGGAAAACTCCTCCTCCCGGCGTGGGCAGCCGGGTTTGTTGTGTCTGCCCTCCAGTTCTCCATTCTCACGTCGCCTGAATTTCCCTGGAGAAGGCACAGGCTACAGCCTGAAGCCGACCCTTCCTTCCCCAGCTGGTCTGCAGCATTCAGCTCTGCAACCTCCAAACCCAAACCCAGTCCTAAAACATAAGCCTGCTGGGTGACAGGCTTCACCTCTGAGTTTTAATCAGAAAACTCTCCTAGCCCTGTCTTGGCACCCAGGACCACAAGTGACACTGTAACAACTGCACCTGTCTACTCATTTCTTGCTTTAACAAACATGTAAGCACTTTCTAGAGGGGACAGCCCCGCCTAGACAACAAGTTCCATTGGGAGAGAGGGGCACCTGACACCACATTGGATTAGTGGGGAGATCTGCACATTGTCCCATGGGATAGCAGAGGAAGAGTAGCTTCTGTCCCTGGGAAGGCTGCCCACAAACAGCTGTGTCTGAGCGGGCTTCCAGAAAGATGAAGAGTGATCAAACAGAAGAGAGAAAGGTTTGCATTTTGCGCAAAGCCAACAGCATGAGCAAACACACAAGGAGGGCATTTGAGGTCTTTGGCCAGAAAGTAAGATGCTTAGAGCTGAACTGCCTTGTCGGCAGTGCCAGGGAGGTAGAAATTCCTCCTTTTGGCAAATAGAGCCAGCTAGGCCCCTAAGCACAGGCTTGGTCTTAGAGAGATGCCTGTGGCAGTGCAGGAAAGAGTGCCAAGGCAGAAGGACCACTGGGGATTGCAATGGGCATTTTGTGTGCTCAGCCACTCAGCACTTTAGTAGGAATCTGCCGTGGAGTAAGAGGTATATATTTATTCTGCCCTGGTGCAGAAATCAGAAAATGAAATCAGAAATGAGAATTTATGCAAACTGGGTTTCCCAGGGCCTTCTGCAGACTCAGGCCTGCCTGGGAATCTGGCCTGAGATGGCCAATGACTTCCACTCCTGGGAACTTGGCATCGGGAACCAAAAAAAGGTGAATTCCATCTCCCTGGGGACACTGGTCTGCAACCCAGGAAAAAAGAGAAGCTTGTGATTTTACTTGCTAGGCTGACTAGGGCATAGAGGGAGCTATTCTGCAAGAAATTAAGAAGCAAAGAGGGGAACAAAGAGAGGTCACCAGTGAGAACTGTCTGGACTCTGCACGGCCTTTGTCTCTGGGTCCATTCTGGAAGTCCAACTTTAGGCGTTCCTTCCCATTCCATGAGGTTGGAAGGAGAGTCTGATACATTTCTGCATTTCTTTTTTGTTGTTAAGGTTGCAAGTTTAGTTTCTATTACTTACAACCAAAAAGTCCTAAGTTATATAAAGGTTCTTATAAAAGTTCTAGCCTGAACTAAGTCATTGCAGTGGGGTTAAAAGGAACAACGGTTATTTAGACTATGAAGTCAAATGGGAGGAGACTGCCTGCTTTGTCATCTAGCCAATCTCAATTACTCACAGACTGTCCCCATCACATGCCCTCTCCCAAGGCAACTATGGACTTCAGAAAGAGAATGCTTTGGCTCTATGCTACCTAGAAGCCCCCTTTCCACAACCAGGCCTCAAAGCAGACCCGGAGAGGAAAAATAAGCAGGGTCTCTGCCACATGAGAAATGGACAGAGGGCTCGAATCATCTAGTGACTATCTTGGCCCTTGCCTCATTTAAGAAGACAGTTGGGCAACTAGCACTATTGAATCACCCCAGACTGGGTTTTCTAAGGCCTGGGGATAAGATGACATCATCACCTTTGCGGGGCAGCAAACTAACATCAACACAAGCACCGCCACTACCAGCACATAAAGAAAGATGGTAACAAGCTCCAGGGCGGAAGGAGCTCCATGATTGTCCCTCAACGACATCTACACTTCTCTCCTTCTCCCATGTTTGTAAATGTCACTCCAAAGCCATTTCTCCCTTCAATTAGAAAGCTCTTTATTCACACTTTCTCTGACAAGTTTAATAGTTTCATTTTGCAGTTTGGGAAATTTTCCATTAAAAAAATCTTGCTCAGATTTTTTTTATCTGTTCCAGATTTTCAAATTTCAGGGCAGCTACATATTGGTTGGCCCTATCAAAGAGAACAGGAAGAAAGCCCAGCCAAGCTGGAGCCTGGCACCATTTCGCACAGGCATCTCCTGGAAACAAGTTCCAAACTAAAGGAAAGGCGTATCCTTTCCCAGGTGGATGCGGTTCTGCCATTTCTTTTCTTTTCTTTTTTTTTTTTTTTTTTTTTTTTTGAGATGGAGTCTCGCTCTGTCACCCAGGCTGGAGCACAGTAGCGTGATCTCAGCTCACTGCCAGCTCTGCCTCCTGGGTTCAAGTGATTCTCCTGCCTCAGCCTCCCCAGTATCTGGGACTACAGGCGCCCACCACCACGCCTGGCTAATTTTTGTATTTTTTAGTAGAGACGGGGTTTCACCGTGTTAGCCAGGATGGTCTCAATCTCCTGACCTCATGATCCATCCGCCTCAGCCTCCCAAAGTGCTGGGATTACAGGAATGAACCACCGCACCCGGCCGGTTCTGCCATTTCTAACCCATACCTGCTTCCTAGGTGTTGGATGAGCAGAGTAGATGTGTGCAGCCTGGGTTGGGGAGCACTTGGAGAAGCCCATCCTTTTCTGCAAAAGCTCCTCATAGCCCCAGGTCTCTCCATTCCTGGATTTCAGCAGTCTCTGTTCCAGCGAAGACAAGATGCAAAGCTCCACTCACAGAATCAGACAATGGAGTTACAGCAGATTTTTTTTCCTTTTGACACATTCCAAAGATTCAGAAAATATTTAAGCACAAATGGCTCTCCTTCTTGGGCTGGAAAGTCTCTCTTCCGTCTTTGCAGAAGCCATGCTTTCTTTCCTCTCTAGTTCCAGATGGATTAAGTTATGAGACCAATTCTCCTGCTTTGTGCAGAAATTCTTTCCCTACCTGAGCCCGCAAACCCTTTTCTAATTGATGCCCTGAAGCCTTTTTAAAGAGCCACCTTAAAGCTCAGAGCAGAAGTGAAGATGCAGAAGGGACCACACAGCTGCCAAGAGAGCAGAGGGGAGGGGGTGCTGTGGGTTTGATGAAAGTGGCCTCATTTTCCCATGAAACTGTTCATCTTACAGCCCCCATGAGCATGTGTGAATCCCTTCAGGATGGTGTCAAGCTGTAAACAGGCAGCTCCTTTTATCTCCTCTGACAAAACTGCTCTCCTTTCCACCTTCACTGGATGTTTATTGAGCACCTAGTATGTACTGACATCCTCATCACTCCAACTTTTCTGACATTTTTCCTTTTTCCACTCCAAAGCAGTCAAGAGTTTTCAAGACTCCAAGCTTCCTCGCCTTTCCAGCACCTGTAATAATGCCATATCAGAAGCAAGCAATGCTGCTTCCAGCTTTGTCCAGAGCAGCCAAATGGGTGGCTTTTCAGGGTCAGCCACAAACCAGCAAAGATAAAGAAACTAAGGGGTGGTGCTGGACCTGAGAGACTGGCTCAAAGAAAGTTCCCTGCTGAGAGCCCAGCTTCCTTTCCAGCCCCAGACTTATCCTTACAGATAATCACTCTCCTGTAGCTTCCCAGATGTGCAGCCTCTCCCCTCCCCCACTGCACCTGAAGGGCAGACCAGAGACTGCAGGGGAGAAGCAAGACACCAAGGTCATTCAGCACCTCCACGAGGACTGCACCACCCTGTTGTCCCGTCTTCCTCCAGTGGACACCAGGGAGGGATCAGGATCTCCCCCTGCAAGGCTGGAACAAGGAGACCCATGGACCAAGAGCATCACCTGCCCCAGGAAGACAACAGCCTCAGAGGAGCAGGTAACCCCGGAGAGCCAAGCTAGGGAGGGGTTGAGCAGGTGATATTGAGACCACCCTCACCAGGGCCCAGGATGTCATGCAACTTCTAGGCAGGCTAATGCCACAGAGCCTTCTGAAACCAATGTTTTATTATTATTATTATTTGTTCAACTGAGTAGAAGAAGAAAGAAAAACGTATCCGCTGTTAAGACACATTGTATGTTTGTTTCTGTTCCAAATAAGGGATTGCTTTTATGTACAGAACATCACATAACATTGTAACAAATTTAGGATTGTCTCTCAATTCAGTTTTCTGCCTTTCTCAAAAGCATTAGTTACACTCACTGAAGATGAAGATCACTTACAAGGATACATTTACAAAATCTGGTTGAAGATATATTTAAAAGTTGTTTTTCTCTGACATTTACCTCAGCACAATATTTCCCTGTTATCTGGAGCTCTTGTTCTCTCCTTGGCTATGCATTTGTTTGTAGGGGTGTGCAATTTTCTGACACAGACACCTTCTTGAATTTAAAAATTACAGAAAAAAGTAGCTCTCTCCTTTCTAGTAATCATGTATTCTGAGGTCTCAGGATTTCAGATGTCATTGGCTGCCAACTTCAGGCAGCTGCTCTTTGGTCTCAGGCAGAGAGGTGCCGAGGTGTGCAGAAGGGTGCAAAGAAAGAGAGGTGCAGAGAGAGAGGTGCAGAGGAGAGAGCTACAGAGGAGAGAGGTGCAGAGAGAGAGGTGCAGAGAGAGAGGTGCAGAGGAGAGAGCTACAGAGGAGAGAGGTGCAGAGAGAGAGGTGCGGAGAGAGAGGTGCGGAGAGAGAGGTGCGGAGAGAGAGGTGCGGAGAGAGAGGTGCATAGGAGAGAGTTACAGAGAGAGGTGTGGAGAGAGATGTGCGGAGAGAGAGGTGAGGAGAGGAGAGGTGCGGAGAGGAGAGGTGTGGAGACAGAGGTGCAGAGAGAGGTGCGGAGAGAGAGGTGCAGACAGAGAAGTGCAAAGAGAGAGGAGCAGAGGAGAGAGGTGCGGAGAGGAGAGGTGCGGAGAGAGGTGCGGAGAGAAGAGGTGCAGAGAGAGAGGTGCGGAGAGGAGAGGTGCAGAGAGAAAGGTGCGGAGAGGAGAGGTGCGGAGAGAAGAGGTGCAGAGAGAGAGAGAAGTGCCGAGAGGAGAGGTGTGGAGACAGAGGTGCAGAGAGAGGTGCGGAGAGAGGTGCAGAGAGAGAGGTGCAAAGAGAGAGGAGCAGAGGAGAGAGGTGCGGAGAGGAGAGGTGCAGAGAGAGAGGTGCGGAGAGGAGAGGTGCGGAGAGAAGAGGTGCAGAGAGAGAGAGAAGTGCAGAGAGGAGAGGTGCGGAGAGAGGTGCGGAGAGAGAGGTGCGGAGAGAGAGAGAAGTGCAGAGAGAGAGAGAAGTGCAGAGAGGAGAGGTGCGGAGAGGTGCGGAGAGAGAAGTGCAGAGAGAGAGAGAAGTGCAGAGAGGAGAGGTGCGGAGAGAGGTGCGGAGAGAGAAGTGCAGAGAGAGAGAGAAGTGCAGAGAGGAGAGGTGCGGAGAGAGGTGCGGAGAGAGAGGTGCGGAGAGGAGAGGTGCGGAGAGAGAGAGAAGTGCAGAGAGGAGAGGTGCGGAGAGAGAGGTGCAGAGAGAGGTGCGGAGAGGTGCCACCTGCAGTTGCTCCCTTAGCTTTGCCTGCGTGTCACAAATGCACACGGAGACAGGTCAGCCCTGGAGAACACGGGGGGAAGGACAGAGAAACTCCGTGTGTGTATACGTGGTATGGAGTGTGCATTTGTGGCGTACGCGTGGTGTGTGGTGTGTGTGATGTGTGGTGTGTGGTGTGTGTGGTGTGTGGTGTGTGTGATGTGTGGTGTGTGTGCTATGTGGCGTGTGTGCTGTGTGGTGTGTGTGCACGGAATGTGTCTAGTGTGTGTGTGATGTCTGCTGTGTGTAATGTGTGGTGTGTGAGTAGTGTATGTGTATGTGTGCAGTATAGTATGTGTGGTGTGCAGTGTATGTGATATCTGTGCACGGGTGTGTGGGGAGTGTTCACGGTTACTCCCTGCGTGCTCTGTGCTCTGGATGCAGTGAGGCTGGTCACTTTTGCGGTGCAGGTGGAAAGGTGTTTTCTGGCCGTCCTTGATTAGCTCTCCTGAGGAATGGTCCACCCTGTACAGGTGTCCTAGAAGCTGCCCAGGGAGATCTCTACCTGGTTCTCCCTGCCTGGCAGGCAGCGCCTCCCGGGCAGAGGCTGAGGATGCTGAGGGCTGGGTTAGCGGACAGCGGGACAGCCTGGACACTCAAGCACCTGCCGAAGCCCTCTAGAACTCACTGCAGAGGCTCCATCTTCTTTTGATCAAGTCCCCACACAGAACACTGTGAGGCTTTGTCCCCCCACCTTGAGGGTGCAAGGAAGCCCCCCAGGGTCCAAAGCCAATCGCACTCCATGAGGAGAGGCCCCTGCAGTCTGCAGATGGACCCCTGAGGTCTCAGCCTCCCCGGGTCCAGTCAGAAGCAGCGCTTCTGGGCTGGGAAAGAAGCCCGCATTGCATTTTCTAGATCTGTTCCTCTTCCCTCATGCTGGGTCCCCAGGCTGGAGACCCATCTCCACTCACCCATGCTCCTGGACCCCATGTCTGTAGGTCCCACATTTTCTCTCCACGTGCCTGTGACCCACTGCTCCAGGCAGTGGCTGTGAGAGATGAATTCACATGTACAAATCAAGAGAGGCAGCGCCCACCTTCCTGTGGCAAGACGGAAACAGGCAGAAGCCCCAGACACCTCCTGGCAAATGAAGGTCCGTTGGCACACAAGCCCATCTTCCAAGGCAGTGTCCAGTCCTGAGCTTGTCGGAAGGTTAAGAGGTCCCATGGGGGAGCACAGGGCTGGGCCACGCTGCCTGCACATATGGCCCAAACACAGAATTTGGAGGAGCTGGCAGGGTGAGAAATCATGGCCTCTGCTCAATGTAATGCCCTTCCCTATCCCAAATACTGCACATCCTAGAGAGCAAAGTTCAATGATCAACCACTTAAAGCAGAAACAGGGGCAAGTGTCTCACCTCAGCCAGGCCTATGGGAAGATGGAGCTGAGGATGAGGACCAGGGTAGGAATGAAGCCACCATGGGTGCCTGACCATAAAGAATCCATGAGGGGGCCGGGCGCAATGGCTCACGCCTGTAATCCCAGTACTTTGGGAGGCCAAGGCAGGCGGATCACGAGATCAGGAGATCGAGACCATCCTGACTAACATGGTGAAACCCCGTCTCTACTAAAAATACAAAATATTAGCCAGGCGTAGTGGCAGGCGCCTGTAGTCCCAGCTACTCAGGAGGCTGAGGCAGGAGAATGGTGTGAACCCGGGAGGCAGAGCTTGCAGTGAGCCGAGATTGCGCCACTGCACTCCAGCCTGGGCGACAGAGCGAGACTCCATCTCAAAAAAAAAAAAAAAAAAAAAAAGAGAATCCATGAGGGATGTTCTGACCTGTGGGCTGGAACTGGCCAGCCCTCACCATGCAAATGCACACCTTCATCCAACACCTTCACCCAACACATTGACAGTTCTGCAAATAACACCTACATCCTACACAGTGAGAGTGTGCAAATGAAATAGACACTCACGGTCAGTTGTGAGAATGAAATGGGAGCTTGTAGTTAGGTGAGTGTGTGAATGCAATACGAGCTCATAGTCAGGTTCCACGCAGGGTGGGAGGCCAGCATGCGATCACATCTCCCCTCTCAGACAGAAATGATGCAACCTGGAGGGAGGGCCACCCTTCTCCAGAGGAAATCAGGATCCAGAAACACTCCCCACAGCTGAGCAGGAAAGCTCCAATTACGTGGAACTGAACAGAGACACAGAAAGGACTGGGCTTGCACTAAAACCATTTGATTAAATGGTCGTGGCAGAATATAGGTGGTGGGAATATGAATGCTCACTGTAAAATGGTTTCATCCTTGCTGTGTGTTTGAACATTTGTATAATAAAATGTGGAGGGCAGGGGTGGTGAAACAACATTTGCACCTGCAGAGGACAGGAGAATAGAGAGTGACAGCAGTTCATGTGAAAATCTCTAAGGTCTTCAGGCAGCAATCAATGGCCTCATCTCCAAAAAATCAGCTCCCCCATCACTACTGGGTCCTCAGACCCTAACCCAAGAGCACGGCCATCTTGTGGGTGTAGCATCTTCTCCTCCCAGGCCTGTGATTCCTGGACTTCTGCAAGACTTTGCTATATTTTGGAACTATATCCTTGCTTTTGGTATTAAAACGTCTATTTTAATGTTAAATGATGGTGATAACAGGTTTTTTTTTTTAATGCTTGCATCTAGCAGAATAAAATGTTGGCAACCTTGGACTGGTATCGAATATTCTTTTTGGAAATGTGACTGCCCTGTGGAAACCAGATCTAGGTACTTCCAATATGGTAGAATGTGTGGACTTGGATTCCCACAGCCATGGCCAGGGACCCCAGATTCACCACCTACTGGCTGAAACTGAGATCTCCCTCTTGCCTCCCATCGGAAGTGAATAAACTTTCCTAAGGCAAGTTAGGCAAGTTCTTCACTAAGGCAAGTTTATTTACTTCTGGTAGAGGGGAAGGAGAAGGCCTCAGTGTCAACATCCTTACAAAAAAAAAAAAAAGGAACATTTCATTGCACAAAACTTAATTGAATATTTTTTAAAAAGTCATTTGGGGAACAACTGGGGACATTTGAATATGGACTGGGTTTTAAATGATACTGGGTTTTATGAACTTCTTCAGATATGAAAAATGGTATCGTGGTTACATGGGAGAAGGTCTTTATTTTTAGATACATGTGCTAAAGTATTTAGAGGTAAAGTTTTCTGATGCCTGCAATTTCCTTTGAAATGGTTTAGGAAAAAAATAGAGCAAGAAGCACATTTGGCAAAATGTTAACAGTTGTTGAATCTAGGTGACAGATACATAGGTGTCCATATACTCTTCTCTTAAAACACCTCACTTACTGATTTTTGGGGCAGATTACGATGATATATCAGAGAAAGTACTGTGCCTGAGACCAAGGCAGGCAAGGACAGAGCCATGGCCCCAACATTCACCACCCCCAGGGTCCCAGCCATGCCCCATTCCAAGACAGGCTCATGATGAAATCTTGTGCAGAAGCCTTATCACCTTCCTGCATATTCTAAATGTTCAGCCCCACCAGTAACCTTGCCATTGTGTTTCTGGGATCCCAAGTTATTGAAATTGTTTGTATCTGCGGGGTTAGGCAACTGGCCAAGAAGTCCCAGAAATAACAAAGAAATTCTAAAGCAATGATTTGGGTGACAGAGAGAAAGAGGGACAGAGAGAGGAAGTGACAGGAAAGAGGGACATAAGGTGGGAGAGAGAGAAAGGAGAAGGAAAAGGAGGGAAGAGGAGGAGGAAGTGACAGCAGTGGCACATGACAAAATGTGTGCTCCCCTAGCTTCACTACCAACTCTGCTTATTGCTACTTTTTTTTATTATGCTCATAAGCTCAGCGTGGCCTCTATCATTATGAAGGTAGAGTGCTATCATTGATGGTGTTTGACCACTCACTAGCTGAGTATGTACTCATGTCTGAAATCAACGTGTCATGTGGATGGCAGACTGACCTGCAGAAGGCTAGGAGAGAAATATCTTGTGCTTCAGGGAGATCTGAGCACATAAAAGGACAATAAGGGAAGGCTTCTCGGGCAGGAGGTGAGTACAGTGTATTTCTTGCCATCTGATGCCATAGTCCTTCCCCAAAAGAAAGCTCTGGACTTCAACCCACTTGCCAAAACCAAGTAGAGCATCAAATGAAAGCAGCCACAGAGCACCTGTGACACCTACCTTGGTGAAGAGGCCCTTGAAAGGGCTCTGTGTCCAAGAGGAGAGGGAAGGTAAACCCAGTGATGAACTCCAGCAGCAATCTCCAACTAAAGACCAAAGAGTAGCATGAGGTCCAGACTGCCTTGGCCAGAGCCTCTGACAATAGCCCAAAACATCCTTCCACACTGTAGATAAGTTCCCCGTTCTTCATAGAAATTGACCTTTCTGGTTTTAAAGCTTGAAATTTGTATTTGTTTTATCTGAGTTCCTTTCTCAGAAAAGCATTTTCAGGACTCTTAAAAAATATATATCAAAAACTGAAACTCACCAGATCACTACATCCAGACAATGAGACTTTGGACCCCTCATTCATCATGATTGCTTCCTTGCCCCTCCCTAGTTCCTCTTTTCTTACACATTGTTACATTTCTTCTCTGCTATATAAAACCCTGGTTTTAGTCCATCAAGGAGATGGATTTGAGACTGAGTTTCTATCTCCTTGGCTGCAGCACCGAATTGAAAACTTATTCCTTTGAAAAAAAAAAATGTTTCCCATTCTTGGTCCAACAGTAGACCCAAAAGCTACCACAAAGGGGCTGGCCAATGAAGGTAAGGAGTGCCCTGAGATGGTAGAAGCATGTTTCCCTGGCTTCTGGAATCTTCCATAAACTCTGAGAGGTGTCAGCCTATCTTATCTTCTGTCCTCTGCAGAGACCATCCTCCCCAGCCCTAAGCTCCCTGCCAATGAGGGCTCCAGGAGCAGGAGTTGCTGAGTCAGAGCTGGTGCCTCCCAGCTACTCCAGCACCTGTTAGCTCAGTCTGCAGGCCTGAGTGCCTGCCTTGGTCCCACTCCTCTGTCTTTACATTACTCCTAAAATTCTCAGAGCCTGGAGCTTAGACTACGAGGTCAAGAATGCCACTCTCGCTGAGAACCCTCACTCATCATTTTCATATTTTTCCATCTCCTCTTGTCCCCCAGCCCCCAGCTCCTCAATTCCATACATCTATGATTCAAAGCCCACCACAGATTCCACATTCAAAAGCCACCAAGGGCAGGGAGAAGTGTCTGTTAGGCAGCTGTTCTGGCTGCTGCCTGCTGCAAGTACCTGTAAGTGCTGGGAGCCACAGTACAGAGAAACTGGAGGCCAGCAGAGGGTTGCGATTATAGCCCCATTTCGGGGAGGAGGGAGCTAAACAGAGATTGCAGCCATCACTCCTCACTTCTAGTCAGTCTTTTCACTTCTCTGAAATTTTATGTTGGGCAATTTGTCTCCATTTGCATTGTCATGTTCATCACTCAGGGACTGGCTCTCTCTTCTGCACCATTGCAATAGTTTGCCATTACTTTATGCACACATGCATGAATAAATGCGCATCAAGCTCTGACTGCAGGGCAGGTCCTGTGCTAGGCACTGGGGAAAGATGCCATTTCTGCCACTGCAAACCAGAAAATGAGCAATGCCAAGTTGATCTTCCCAAAGACCATCACTAACTTGTCACTTTCCTACTCTGAATTTCTAGAAAGGGGCTGGGCACGGTGGCTCACGCCTGTAATCCCAGCATTTTGGGAGGCAGAGGCGGGTGGATCACGAGGTCAGGATCCTGGCTAACATGGGGAAACCCCATCTCGACCAAAAATATAAAAAATTAGCCAGGCATGGTGGTGGGCGCCTGTAGTCCCAGCTACTAGGGAGGTTGAGGCAGGAGAATGGCCTGAACCCAGAAGGTGGAGCTTGCAGTGAGCCAAGATCGTGCCACTGCACTTCAGCCTGGGCAACAGAGCGAGACTCTGTCTCAAAAAAAAAAAAAAAGAATTTCTAGAGAGGTCGCCTTATCTCATGGACTAGCTCAATACCTAAAGGAGTTATTAAGACAGAAACTAACTAGTGTTAGTACCTCCTTGCCCAATCTCCACTCCAGGAAAGATAGCCCAGCTTTATTTCTAAAACTCTGAGCTCTCCTTATCTTTACCTCTCCCTACTCTTGGAGAAGCTTAAGAGTTTTGTGTGAGTGTGAGTGTGTGTGTGAATGCAATCCTAAACTAAAGCTGGTCATGTAAAAGGAGGGGATGAAGGTGAAAACTTTCAGGATAAAAGCAGAAGCCAGCAGACAGGAAGTTTTTTTGTTTGTTTGTTTGTTTGTTTTTTGAAATGGAGTCTTGCTCTGTTGCCCAAGCTGCAGTGCAGTGTCGCAGTCTCGGCTCACTGCAAGCTCTGCCTCCTGGGTTCACACCATTCTCCTGCCTCAGCCTCCCGAGTAGCTGGAACTACAGGCGCCCGCCACCATGGCCTGCTAATTTTTTTGTATTTTTAGTAGAGACGGGATTTCACTGTGTTAGACAGGATGGTCTCGATCTCCTGACCTCATGATCTGCCCGCCTCGGCCTCCCAAAGTGCTGGGATTACAGGCATGAGCCACTGCGCCAGGCCCTGAGAGGAAGTATTTTTGCCAGAAGGAGGGGACAATTACTCCTCAGCTGTATTAGGTAGCCAGAGGAACAATCGTGATCACATGAGAAAGAGGAACCTGGGTCCTCTCTAAATTTTTCCGACACCAGATAAGCTTCAGATCCTTTGATGACACCATGGTGGAGAGGAAGAAGTCTCATTAGTAATTGCTACTGGGTATCCTCCCAGCCAGATAGGTGAAGTCTGAGAGCAAATTTAATCTGATTAAGAGAAATAAAGGAATATGGCATGTCATACCCTGTTGCTGTGAAATAAGATTTATACCAAAGGTCAAAACTCCTTGACTGAATGCTTACAGCTCTCCATGACCAGATACAAGCTTGAGTCTCCAACTTAGCCCACCTCTCCACTACCTAACATCTAGGTAACATCTATACCATGTTCAAGCATCGCCTAAAAGTGTCCTCTTATTTCAATTTTTTTGGATTAGTAACTCCCATCCCTGTGCAACACTTGTTGCAGACGTCTTTCTAAATGTCTTATCTTCTTTTTAGAGGAACCAACTGCTGAGTGCCCCTCAGCAGAACTCATCTCCTGACTAATATTCCACAATTTAGAAGCCACTACAGCCGGAAATGTATCCATGTCTACTACATAAAAGATGTCAATAGTCACTGGTCACTAACAAGAGGAGGGGGAGGGGGCATGAAGCCCACCTACCAAGCGGACTGGCATCCTCAGTCGGCCTCACGCCAGCTGTGTTCCTTGGGCAGGTTAATCTCTCTTACCCACCTCAAAATACTGTTATGAAAAATGAGATGATGTATGTAATTATTGAAAAAGAGGCCCACACATAAAGTGCCCCAAGGATGCAAGAGTCCCTCCCACTGAAAACAGTGATCAGCAAAGAAAATGGGAATAAGATGCCATGGTGATAAAGGGAAGACTCAGATTCAGAGAAAACTTAGAGACAGTGCTAAAAATGCAGATGCAATGACCAAGGTGACAGAAAAAAGAAAGCTACGCAGGGCACCGCCAAGTAGAAACTATGGAGAATCTATAGACCCACATGGCCGAGGGCGGTGGCTCACGCCTGTAATCCCAGCACTTTGGGAGGCGAGGCGAGTGGATCACGAGGTCAGGAGATTGAGACCATCCTGGCTAACACGGTGAAACCCCACCTCTACTGAAAATACAAAAATATTAGCCTGGCATGGTGTTGGGCGCCTGTAGTCCCAGCTACTCCGAAGGCTGAGGCAGGAGAATGGCGTGAACCCGGGAGGTGGAGCTTGCAGAGAGCGGAGATCGCGCCACTGCACGGCAGCCTGGGCGACAGAGCAAGACTCTGTCTCAAAAAAATAAAAATAAAATAATAGACCCACACGCAGGGTAGGTCACCAAGTCCGTGACATGAAGCCCACTCCGGGAACTTGGGGCCACTTTTTAATTCTCACCCTGCGCTCCCCACACACCTGTGCCTCGCCAGTGTGACCCACGCTTTGGTCTTCCTCTCTGTGCCATCTGCAGACTCCAACTGACATTTTTTTCTGGCCCAACCTATTTGTGTCTGATAATCTTATACATGGGTCTCAGGCATGAGCAAAAAGGTTTAAACAGGAAAATTCAAAGGATTCATGGAATCAGCTTCTAAAGATCGAAAGCTACTGGCATGCGCTAGGGTATGCATGGCACAACCTGGGTCCTCACCATTTTCGAATTGGGATTTGGGGTCAAGCCAGCTCCCTCTTCCATCAGCAGAAGCCCTTCCCCTGTCCTAGGGCTTATTTGCATGGATGGCACATGGGTTTCTAGGCAAGAGCGAAAAATAGAAATGAACAAATGAAGGCTAGCTTGATTCTAGCTTACCCTGCAGGGAAAAAGTGACTGCAAGTAAAAGCCGAGAGTTGCTTTCATGAGTACGCTGTGAGGCTCCAGACACAGGCGGGGCTCCCGGGGCCTGGATGAAAAAGTGGCACAGAAGGGGGGGGGCCCCACTTCTCCCTGGCACACGGCCCACTTGAATTCAAGAAGACAGAAGCATATGCAATAATGTGGAGCCCCTTGGGGAGCAATGCTATTTGGAGAGCTCTGGGAAGCAGCAGCCAGAGTGAGAATTGGGGCTTTATAAAAGGGCAGGGAGGCGAGGGAGTGGAGGGGCCTCTCTCAAGCAACAGCCAGAAGGAATTCAACTTGGAGACCAGAATAGGACAAAAGGACTGGGCCGATTGAGAGCCCACCTGACTTTCCTAGGAACTCCAAGATCTCTAAGCATACATGGAAGGCTGAGATCCTGCCTCCACTGTGGGAGTAAACAGCCACCAGCATTCAGACTATACATATTGAAGCTATTTTATTGTTAAGTGCATGCTAATGGTCCTGGGGACCATAGGGATCACACACAAATGTGGGGTGAGCACCTCACATTTCAGAGGGAAGAGGCTCCACGTTAGGCACTGAGCTGTGGTCCCAAGGACCAAGCCTCTTGCAGGAGGGACAGGCCTTTATTTGACAAAGAGATAGGCTATAACCACATACAATGGCCCATGATCTAACGCCAAATGAATAGCACAGATGACAAGAAGTTTGAAATTCAGAAAAGGTCAAGGTCAGTGTGTTGAGTGCTCCAGGGAGGATCTCAGAAAACATTCATTTGTTCTTCCCCTACTTTTTGTTGCCCTCATGATATTGATTAATTAAGATTTAATAGAAGTGATCTTAGTTTCCTATTGCTACTACAACAAATTACCACAGTTAGCAGCTTGAAACAACACACATTTATTATCTTACAGTTCTTTAGGCTAGAAGTCCAACATGGGTCACTGAGCTAAAGTTGGAGTGCTGGCAGGGCTGAGCCGCTTTCCTGGAGGCTCTGGGGAAAATCAGTTTTCCTGCCTTTTCCAGATTCAGGAGGATCCCACAGCCCTTGACTTGTGATTTCTTCTCCATCTTCAGCCATCAACATGGCACCTCTCTGACCCTTATTCCATTTTCACATCTCTCTGATCACAGGCAAGAGAGGTTCTCAGCTTTTAGAGACTCGGGGTTAGATTGGGCCCACACAGTAATTCAGGATAATCTCTCCTACCACATTTTTAAATCTTCATCACAAAGTCCTTTTTGCCATGTAAGGTAACACTTACCAATTCCAGGAATTGGCATGGGGATCTTTGGTGGGGGAAGCATTATTCCGCTTATCACAGAGCAGATATTTTCCAAGGTAAAGTAAAAAAGATAAAAGTCTCTACCACAAAAGCATGTCCATTTCTCCTCATGCAGCCTACATTCACGGTATATTCCTAACAGTCACATCACACAGGAGCTCACATTAAGTTAACGGTCAACTAAAATTGCAAGATTGTTTTTTATGTTTAGGGCTAAGTCTTAAATAAACAATACCTATTTCAATATTTTTTTCTTGAAAGAAACTCCATTTTCAAGAAGTAAAGTGTTCAAATTATGATTGATTGATTGAGTGTAGCTGATATTAATCAGCCTTCTGGGTTAGCACTCACAGTCAAGAGAATCACGTTTTCATCTTAAATAAACAAACACATATTTACCTGTGGCTCTCAGAAGTGAGTTTTCATGAAAGACAATTTAGTTTTATTTAAGAAAGTTTGCCAGGCTCTTCTCATGGCTTATAATAAATGTAAATAAAGCCATGCTGCTTCCAGTGTTTAACAAATTCACTATCTATGGAGCACCTCCCAAGAGTGGACCAGGCACTGCTCTGAGCTATGAGAACACAGAGAGTAGTCAGAGCTGCCTTTAAGAACTCAGAGGCCAGGCTGGGTGTGGTGGCTCACGCCTGTAATCCCAGGATATTCGGACGCCAAGACAGGATGATTGCTTGAGGCCAGGAGTTCAAGACCAGCCTGGGCAACATAGTGAGACAACCATCCCTAAAAAAAATACAAAAATTAGCCTGGCATGCTGGTGTGCACCTGTAGTCCCAGCTACTTGGGAGGCTGAAGTGGGAAGACCACTTGAGCCCAGGAGGTCCAGGTTGCACTGAGCTCTGATCATGCTACTGCACTGTAGCCTGGGTGATGAAGTGATACCCCATTAAAAAAAATCAGAGCCTTGTAGGGAGAAAGGATTGTGGCCTTGGGAGAACCTCTCTGATGCAAGATCATATGGGGGTTATATGGGGGGACCAAGGGGGCCACACACCACCCAGGTGAGAGGAAGACACCAAGCCCTTCACAAGGTGACAACTGCTCCAGATTTAAAGTCAAGGAGCAGGAACAGTCCTGGCAGGGGGTAGAAGGAGCAAAGACATGGAAGTGTGAATGGTCTGCTCATGGAGGGTCTGTGGGATTAAGGGGCTGGGGCTGGGGAGTAGGAAGCCAGAGTAGGAGCAAAGGTAGAAGCCGGGTCCCAAGGAGCTTTGAGCCATGACAAGGTAAGAAGTAGCAGGAATGACAATTGGACACCTGGCTCTGATGGAAAGAGAGAGTGATTAAGGCTCTTCAGTCCAAGGGAACCACTGGAGGGGCCTCAGAGCACCAGGCGGGAGAAGGCATCATCTTTGACAGTGCAGGGTCTGCAGCTGGCACCATCTTTGCAGCCTCTGGCCAGGCTGCCCCCTTCCCCTGGGTTTCCAACTCCTCCTCTGGTGAGCAGGAGCCACCAACTCCTCCTCCCTATCACCGCATGATATAAAAACCCAGTGAACTGCAGCTCACGAGAGCCCTGGGACTAGTTCCAACTGCCTTACAAGAGCGAGGGCAGCCCATTGCTGTGAACGCTCAGTGCCAGCCCAATGTGTTCTGGGCAGTCTCAAGGAAACAAACAACCCGCTTAATAACCATTCATTCGGAATTGTATCCAAGAGTGCCCGGCCACTCTTCTCTAGGTGGAAACCAAATCTAACTGATTTATTTTAAGTGAGAGTTACACAAGTCATCACTAAGTACAGATTTAAGCTTTCAGAATTAATGAAAGGAAAAAATTGCGAATGTGCCCAAACCACAGTCCAAACGAGGCTTTGTCCTTGAACAATCGTAATTCAGGATTGTCGTCTCCGGGCCTGATAGTGAAAAGGAGACTTTATCCAGCCCCTTCTCCAAATAATAAAAATTGATTTTTGACTGGGGCAATCTATTGTTCCAGATCATTAACTTCAGAGAATAAATCATTTTCTGGGGTTTGCTGTTTCAGGTGGCTGGCAGTGCAGAACTAAAAGCTGCTTTCAGCTGGAAGGAGACTGGGGAGGAAAAAGCGGCCTCCCTTTTCTGATTCTCTGGGCTTCCTTTTAGGTATTTGAGTTCCAGCTAGAACTAAATGCTTAAGGCTTCTCATCATGAGGGTTGAGTTTCAGCTTTTCTTTCTGAAATGCCTTCTACCCACCCCTCCGGGTCAGCCTGGGGACATTAAGGATGGAGCTGACCCCAGCAGCAACTGATCCATGGGGCCCGGGACATGCCAACCCCACCCTGAGATCAGAGCAGGGAAACAGTGGAAAATAAGAAGTAGCAGTCTTAGTTTCCCTCTCTGTCCTCATCTTCTTTGAAATGTCCCTTTCTGCTAATGAGGCAGCTCTCCCTGGTTCCCCATCCTTGCACAGGTGTGGCTTTAGCCAGGGAAGAGAGGATGGTCTTACAGGTCACCTCCTCTGCCTTCTAGCCAAGGTCACTGGGATTGACAGTCCCTGTGGCTGTGGAGGGGAGACCTGAGGTATGCACTTGCCCTCCAGGTCCTCACTGGTTTCCTCTGGGTGAGTGGGGGCAGGGGGTGTTGAATAGCGTTGGCCCCTGAAATCTTCAGAGGAGACCACTGTTAGCTCCACAGGCCTGTGGCCTCTCAGCCACACCCCATGTGTCCTCAGCCACCTTCCCTACACCCGCACAGCCAGTAGGGAACCAGGAAAAGTGTCTCAAGCTGTTTCTTTGTTTAAGCATCCTACTCTGCCATTTTTCCCAATGCCATCACCAGCCTAGTGGGCCTGAGGCTGCCCAGAGCCAGAGGTTAACCAGGACTGGAGACGCAAGTCCCTATACTGTGGGCTTCCCTTGCAGCAGCCCCATGCCCCTGTCTTCTCGGTCCCAATCCCATGATCACCACTGATGAGGACAAGGAGTGGGGGACTGAGTTCCTCAGGACCCTAGGGAGAAGTTTCCCAAAATCCCTCCATCCTCATACCATGCCCCTTCCCACCTGGGGGAACAGAGCACTCCTGCATCTGTTCTTCCTTCTGATCCACCTGACAGATGCCCTTGTCCTAGAAACCCACACTTACTCCCCAGACTTCTGAGTTTTGTGGTCCAGGCCTAGAGTCAGACCCAATGCAAAGAGAAAAGCTCATTTAGCCTAAGGGAAATGGTTGGGTTTGAGTTGCTTTCTGCTATTTTTAGTGATTATTAATGAATGCAGGACTGGACACGAAGTTCCTGCTTGAATTTTCCCAAGGACAGTTCTGGGGGCCTCCTCCCTCTGAGACACCAGGGATGAGGGGGCTGGTAGGAGGGGTTCCACCTTGGATTCCATCTGTGCAGGGCCTCCCAGGGCAGAGGAGGGACTCTGCTGGCCTACACACATCCCTTCACAAGTGAGTAGGAAAACCAGGGGACCTGGCACCAGGCCAGCAGGAACAGAGGTGCCAGGCCTCAGTGAAGGCCAGCCTCTTTTGGACACCGAACTGCAGTGGCTGAGCCCTGGGGTTTGTTAGGCATCCTGATGTGAGATCTGAAACCCTGGATGCTCAGAGCCACCATCTCCCTACATCTTGTTCCCTGCAGAGGGGATTCTTCTCCCAGACACCAGATCCTGGAAGGGGGCTGACACACTGCCCACCTGCCCAGTCCTCTCTGTCCAGGTCTGAGCTTGTTCCTTAGGAGCCAACCCACCCACCATAGCATCACTGCCTGCTCCATTATCACAGCCTCTGAGGCAGTCACAGCCTCAGGCACTTCCTGCTGGGCAAAGAGGAAAGTGGAGCAGGAGCCATCCAAGCCAGACCCGGACCTGATGAGGACCACCTTTTTGGACACTGTCCTTAGGAAGCCCATTTCTCCTGCCCACTGGGTCAGAACTCACTCCTGTTGCCAGCCGCAGCCGCCCAGGAATGTTCCCCCGACCCCTAGCTCCAGGGCCTCCCACTCCCTCTGAGGCCCCAGCAAGTCATTCACGGGCCTCTGTTATGTGTCCATTGGCATGGGCCTACTCCTTCACCAAGAACCCATGGCCCTGTCTTCCTCTACTGGGGCTCTACTTTTCCTTTTTGTGGCTACACTGTTGCCACAAATTTATTTTCTGCAGATCCCAGAGGCTTGTCCTGGGAGAGGCAAGAGTAAGGACAGTCAGTGAGCAGGGCAGCAGCAGCCAAGGAACCTGCTGAGTGGGGGCTGCAGGGAAGGTGTGGGAAGCAGAGACGCTGGGCTCCTCCACATTGGCTGCAAAGGTCATGAGCTGCTTTCCTGCAAATGCATCTCCATCTGGGATTGAATGTCCTTTGATTGAGTTTAACATCTGATCCTAAAATGTGTTATCATATGTAAAGCCATCTTTAACAATATCATGCCGTAATCTTCAAAATTTAATAAGGCCTCCAGAGATAATTAATAAAATGTAACCTAACTTCAAAAGGAAAATGTAGTAGTATAATGTCTTAGATACTAAAGGACTGCTGCTCCCAGGTGTCCTGTCCCATGACCCTTTCACCACCTTTCAGGGAGCCTTAGCTTCTCCCAGCACCACCCTGCAGGGAGGAGGAAGGGAAGAGTCAAACCAGAACAAAGAGCTAAATTCTTGCCTTTGAACTCAATTCCAAGAGCTGGGTGCTTAAAAGAGGACTGGTTTTCCTTTGAATTTCAAAGGATTTGAGTTAAATGATCAGGAGCCAGAGATCTGAGACTATAGCATGGAGTTGTTAAAGTCCAAGAGTGGAGGAGGTGAGTGTGAAGAGGGTCTCAGGCTAGGATTCAGAACCATTTCCCTGCCGAGGGTCATCAGCAGGGTCTGTAAGTGGGGAGACACAGAATGGACATTACCTGGGTCCCTTTTAAGGGACTGAGAGAGCCAAGTTATATTGAGGAAGAATCTGAAGGCTCGCACAGTGCAGTAGGCTGCCCCACTTCCCATCTAAAATTCTGGAAGGAGATTATTGCCTCAACTAGCTTTTCAGCAACATGGGAGCCCCGGGAGAGTAGAGCTGGTGGTATGGCACGTTTGGGCAACACAATTATTAAGATTCTTGGTTTCAAACCCAATAAAAGCCAATTCTGGCTAACTAAGAAAAATTAACAGTATCTTTAGCTAACTAAACCAAAGATCATCTCTGGCAGGGTCTCAGTGAGAATGCCCATAGTGGACAGTCCTCAGCTGAGAGGTCAACATGGAGATCTCTGACTGTTGTTGGCCTCTGCTTTTGCAGATGCCACTGCTGAGGGTCTGCAGCTGGTGCATGAAGCTGACCCATCTCCTTCTTCAGACATGCCTAGCATCATTCTTGCACTACTGGCCCTCTGACACTCAGCCATGCCCACCATTGTCCTTAGCAAGACTAGGCCCTGCTCTGCCGTGATCTCTGGCAGGCACACAAACCCCCAGCCACCATCTGCCTCCTTCTCCTAGGGTTGTAGAAAATGTCTTGGCTTTTCTCCAGGCTCTGCTGGAGCTGAGAGAGACTGGGGTGGTCGGACAGAGGCTGGCTCAGGCCCTATCCTGCTCTGGAAGATGTTTTTTATTTTGGCTACTCAGAAGCCAAACCTTTTTTCTATTTGTGGTAATCCCAAAACAGAAGGGAGGTAGCTCTACCTCTGAAAACATGAGTGTTAGTAGGGAAGGGGACAGATACTCCCCTCCCCCACTGGCTGGCCATAGGGTGGGCGTGTAGCTGGAGTGTGGCCAACCAGGTGCTACCACTAGAACCTGGCTTAGGAGGCACTGAGTCAGGGCTCAGGTTGGGAAGCTGATTTTTTCCATGGTGGCAGAGGTGGGATGGAGCCCAGCAGTCTGGTGGAGCAACGCCTACAGCCAAGGTGAAGATGGCTTCATTATCAGCTGTCTGTGTCCACTGAGGGACAATGTCTTGCTAGACCCTGCTTTCTTGGGATTTGCCTGAGCCTTGGCCTGCAACCTTGCTCCAAAACAAGGACAACACAGGAAACTGCACTGAGAATTTCCCTCACACCGCATGCAAGGATAAGAGGAGAAGGAGGGGGCTGGGTGCAGTGGCTCACACCTGTAATCCCAGCACTTTGGGGGGCCAGGGCGGGCAGATCATGAGGTCAGGAGATCGAGACCATCCTGGCTAACACGGTGAAACCCCGTCTCTACTAAAAATACAAAAGCAAAATTAGCTGGGCATGGTGATGGGCGCCTGTAGTCCCAGCTACTCGGGAGGCTGAGGCAGGAGAATGGCGTGAACCCAGGAGGCAGAGCTTGCAGTGAGCCAAGGTCGTGCCACTGTACTCCAGCCTGGGCAACAGAGCGAGACTCCGTCTCAAAAAAAAAAAAAAAAAAAAAAAAAAGGAGAGTAAGGGGTCAGGTCTGAATTTGGTGAAATACGTAACCAAATCAACAATGTTTTAAATCAAAAGAAACTGAATGACCAAGATTAAAGTCGGTGTGTAGATGGTGAGAGGGGGTGGTTTTGCCCTCAAAGGATATGAGTTCAGTGATTTTTTTTTTTAATGAGATTGTTTTATGTCTGGTGTGGACGTGACCATAAATATAAATGTGGGGGCCGGGCGCAGTGGCCCACACCTGTAATCCCAGCATTTTGGGAGGCTGAGGCGGGCGGATCACCTGAGGTCAGGAGTTCGAGACCAGCCTGGCCAACATGGTGAAATCCCGTCTCTACTAAAAATACAAAAATTGCCGGGCATGATGGTGGGCGCCTGTAATCCCAGCTACTCGGGAGGCTGAGGCATGAGAATTGCTTGAACTAGGGAGATGGAGGTTGCAGTGAGCCCAGATGGCGCCATTGCACTCCAGCCTGGGCGACAAGAGCGAGACTCCATATCAGTAAATAAATAAATAAATAAATAAGAGCCTCCCAGGAGTGGCAAAGAGAACAAAGCTGCTGCACATCTGGACAGAGCAGTGCCTGTGACTGGGTGGGGGAAAACGGCAACTGCGTTTAACACACTGCGGGTCTTACGGGAGAGAGCCATGGCTGACTGAGGCCCTTCACAGGAATGGAAGGGATGCCTTCTGCATCTCTGACAGAAGCCAATCTCTCCTGGAAGTGAGAGAAAGTGGCCCTCACCAGCTTGTTTCTGAGATAGTTTGGGGCATGGAGCCAGAACAGTACCATTTTATTTCCTTGAACTCCTTCCCCAGGGTCTTCCCTGTGCCTTTCAGAGAACTGCACTCTCACTCTCTTCCCTGCCCTTGGACGACAGTGCCTTTGGCTCTGTGCTCCTTGGGTCACCCTCCTTTGTCCCACGTGTGCCACCATGAACCCACTCGGCAGCCCGGACCCAGCCTGCCTGGAGGGATGGTCAGACAAGTGGACTCCATCTCAGGAGCAATAGGTGGAAAGAAATGGGGGCTCACACCACACCACACCACACTGGACAGTGACAGGAGCCCCAGCATAGCCAGAATGGAAGACTTTGAGGAAGAAGCATGGGTACCTGATAGTGGGAGAAAAGATGATCAAATGGCCTCCCAGGGGCCTTCACCAGATTCCCCAAGAACCAGCAGACATTAAAAGGGGAGGTGGGGCTCCGAATCGGAGACTCCAATATTTGAGAGGCAGGTATCCCGATGGTTCAGCTGTAGATGTGGCCCAAGAAGCTAGGCTACTGGACTATCCAGTTAGAACTCGGGGGTAAAGAAGATTTCAGCAGCCTTTAAGAATGTTTGCAAACCCCCAGATGGAGAGCACATGTCTGGGGATGAGGGGTGAGAGCAAGAAACAGTGCTCCCTCCCCACCCACAACCATCTTCCTGCCCCCAAGCCAGCTCCTCCTTCCTGGGCAGCCACCAGCAGCTGAGGGACACGAAAGAAGTACAGTGCCTCTGACTGCCTCCCAGGAGCCCATCCTGACCTTGACTCTAAAGGGGTTAAACATCCAGTGAAGTGACATTCTTCCCTTTGCCTGAAAATTAGTGATGAGGGCTCCTGCCAAAAACATCTTCTATATTCCAAGGGGATGAGATTTAAATCAAGATTGAGATTGAAAGTGTAATTTTAGATTAAAGTTTAATATCCAAGAGACACCTGAAAGTTACAGAATCTTACCAGGATGCTGTGAGGGATGGGAAAGAGATTCAACAGAGCATAGATGAAAGAAGAGTCTGGGGGAAAATAAAACTGCTCATGTTCACACCTCTCTGGGCTGAGTCTTCTCAACCAGTGAATTACAAGGAGGCCTCAGCATGTCATCCACTCCCTGAAGTTCCAGATGGGCTGGTACACAGGATTTGCTCTGGAAACAGATATGCCTGGTGCTCCTCTTCTCTCATCTTCTGTGAGAGAGAGGGAGAGGGTAAGAGGCAGGGAGAGGAACGGAGCCCACACTGTGTTGAGCTGATGCTTCCCATCCATCATCTCCCTTGTCTAGGCAACCTATTTATCAGATGGCAAAACTAAGTCTCCAAGAGTGGAAGCCATGAGCTTAAATGTTCTTATATTTACATCTAGCTTCATCTGACACAAGGCCACACCCTTTCCTCTGTGTCACAAATAGTATTGGATTACACTGCCATGCCTGAAAACAACCCTCAACTTTCTCTTTATTTTCCCCAGTTCACATCACTCTGCACAAGCCCTCTTCCCTGAGGAGCCTGGCTTTGTTGCCATCAGTAATGCATTTCCCAACATTTTCCTGGACATCAGCTATCATACTGAACACTCACCAATCTGCTCTCACGTCCCTGCCTCCTACAGAGAAGACGGCCATGAAGGCAGATCTTTCTTCAAGAGCTACAATTCTGAGCCCCCACTGGGCAGTGCCTTTATCATGTGAAAACATTCCAGCAACGAAAAAGGCAAAATCTTCTCTATAAAACGTCAGTCTGTTTTCCCAGGCACAACTCCCTAAACATAGACAACCAGCCCAGAAACTGTGGCTCCCAGAAGGAATTTCTTCCAGGAAAACTTGGCCAGACCTAAAACAGCTCATTTTCTTCCTGAAACTGTCTCCTGCCCAGTCTGCAAAAGGCTCAGCTGAGCAGGAAGCTATGGTTTTTCCTTCAATCATTCATTCACACATTGGACCGCTGTTTGCAGAGTCCACACCTGGCCCCTGCCTGTGCTAAGCAGGAGGGGAGTGATGAGCGCAGAGGCTCAGGCCTGGGGAGATGTAGGCAAGTCCAGTGAGCACAACACAGGGGTCCCAAGGAGCTTGGCACAGCAGCAGAGGGCCAAATTTGAATTCAGGGGGCCAAGAACAGGCTGGGGAGGTGACGTGTGGACTGAGATTTGATGGACAGATATCAGCTAAGAGCATCTGTGCTTGCCAGTGTGCTTTGAGGAGTGATGTCGGTGCGGCACACACTGGGGTAGTCTTTGTTCAAGTTCAGAAATGGTTTCTTGGCCGGGTGAGGTGGCTCACGCCTGTAATACTAACACTTTGGGAGGCCAAGGCGGGCGGATCACCTGAGGTCAGGAGTTTGTGACCAGTCAGGCCAACATGGAGAAACCCCATCTCTACTAAAAATACAAAACTTAGCCGGGCATGGTGGCGGGCACCTGTAATCCCAGCTACTTGGGAAGCTGAGGCAGGAGAATCCCTTGAATCCAGGAGGCAGAGGTTGTAGTGAGTAGAGATGGCACTACTGTACTCCAGCCTGGGTGACAGAGCGAGACTCAGTCTGAAAAAAAAAAAAAGGATTTCTTCTGCTTCTGGAAAAGATGGCACGTGACGGGGAATTTACCCTCCTGCCTAAAACAACCAAATATCCAGATAACATATAAAACAAGGGTTTTCAAGACACTAGCATCTGGCTGTGAAAAACAGAGATCCCCAGGAGATGGGAAATCAACAAGGTGCCCTTCCTGACTTGAGAGAGCTCAAGGCTGTGGCGCAGAAGGGAGAGCCCAGGGGGCTGGAGTCCACAAGATCCAGTGCTGATGAGGACAGAGATGCCCAAGAAAGAGTACTGGAGATGTGTGGAGGATCCCGCAAGTATTCAGCAGAGTTCTGACCAGTGCATGCCCGTGTGTGAGGAAGCTGTGTGAGGCTTGGGGGTGGGGCATCTAAGGAATTAGAGGGAGCAGCACCCAACAGGGCCAGAAATGGTGCCTGTTCCCAAGGCCAGCCTGCAAAGTGCCATCATGAATATGGGTCACAGTGACAAGTCTCTGACTTTAGCCCAGCTATGAAATCCCCACAATCCCCATCAATCAAAACCCTGCCTCTCAGTGTCAACCATACCACGTGCTCCTGGCCAGCCCGCACTCCGTGCCTCTGCCATCCCTATCCACACCTCTCCCCTTGGGTAGCCCCTGGGCCTGTGACTCTGAAGTGGACCTCACCCTTCCTGGCTGAAGCTACGGCTTCTCTTCCCACTCCATTGCACACCGGCTGCTCTTCCCTTCTTCGTTTCTCCAACTCCTGCCTCAGCCTCCCAAAGTGCTGGGACTCCAGGCATGAGTCACCACGCCCAGCCCATTATTCATTCCTATTCATTGCTCTGAAGGCAAACTGTCTTCATCACACCAGTTTTGGACATTCTCTTCCTTGGCCAAGGTGCACCAGTGTGAGTGACTTTTCTTTTTCTTTGTGTGTGTGTGTACTTGTTTTAATTGATAGATAAAATTTGTATATATTTGTCATGGACAACACGTTTTGAAATATGCATACAATGTGGAAAGGCTCAATCATAATACACTATTACCTCATGTACTTACCATTTTTGTGGTGAGAACACTTAAAATCTCTCTTAGCAATTTTCAATTATACTTGTTATTAACTATAATCACCACATTGTACAAAAGATCTCCTGAATGTATACCTCCCATGTAACTAAAATTTTGTACCCTTTGACCAATATCTTCATATTCTCCCTCTCCTTTTTTAGGTTTCACATGTAAGTGAAATGCAGGATATGTCTTTCTGTCCCTGACGTACTTTAACATTATGACCTCCAGTTCCAACCTTTTTGCTAGAAATGACAGGAGTTCATCCTTTTTTTTTTTTGAGACTGGGGGTCTCGCTCTGTCACCCAGGCTGGAGTGCAGTGGCACAATCTCAGCTCACTGCAAGCTCTGCCTCCCAGGTTCACGCCATTCTCCTGCCTCAGTCTCCCAAGCAGCTGGTACTACAGGTGCCTGCCACCAAGCCTGGCTAATTTTTTTGTATTTTTAATACAGACGGGGTTTCACAGTGTTAGCTAAGATGGTCTCGATCTCCTGACCTCGTGATCTGCTGGCCTCGACCTCCCAAAGTGCTGGGATTACAGGCATGAGCCACCGTACCCGGCCTGATTTCATCCTTTTTATGGCTGACTAGTATTCCATTGTGTACATAAGACATATTTTATTTATCCATTCATCCACTGGTGAACACTTAGGTTGATTCTGTATCTTGGCTATTGTGAATAGTGCTGCAATCAACATGGGAGTATACATACCTCTTTGGTATAAGGATTTCATTTCCTTTGGATATATACCCAGAAGTGGAATTGCTAGATCATATGGTAATTCTATTTTTAATTTGTTGGGGGACCCCCTGCTATTTTCCAGAAAGCCTGTACTAATCTACATTCTCACCAACAATGTGCAGGAGTTCCCTTTTCTGCACATCCTAAACAACATTTGTTATCTTTTGTCTTTTTGATTAAAGCCCTTCTAAAATATGTGAAGTCGTATTTCACTGTGGCTTGAATTTGCATTTCTCCAATGATTCATGATGTTGAGCATTTTTTCATACATTTTTACATACACATTTGGCCATTCGTGTGTCTTCTTTTGAAAAATGTCTATTCAAGTCTTTTGTCCATTTATTAATCTCATTATTTGTTGTCTTGCTGTTGTTCGAGTTCTTTATATATTTTGGACGTTAACTCCTTATCAGAAGTGTGGTTTGCAAATATTTCCTCCCATTCTGCAGGTTGTCTCTTCACTCTACTGATTGTTCCATTGGCTGTGCAGAAGCTTTTTAGTTCGATGTAATCCTATTTGTCTATTTTCACTTTTGTTACCTGTGTTTTGGGTGTCATATGCAAGTAATCTTCGCCCAGACTAATGTCATGGAGCTTTTCCCCTATGTTTTCTTCTAGTAGATTTACAGTTTCAGGTCTTACGTTTAAGTCTTTAATCCATTTTGAGTTTATTTTTATATGGTGAGAGATAGGGGTTGTGAGTGCCTTTTCCTTATAGCTCTTTTATTTGTCTCACAGTTTCAGATGATTTGACACCCCCTTTTCTTAGGCACTTGGCACAGACCATCTGAGGACTGGTTAGGAGACAATAGATGTAATACTGATTGGCCTCACTCAAGATTGTCACTCAATACTGGCCCTGCACAGAGTCCCTGAGCCTTGGAGTACTTGGGATTCATACTTCTGTCAGAGCTGCTGGGCTGCTTTCTTCCCCATAGTACACATTGCCCAGAAGGCCACCAGGAGGAGGAGACTGGAAAGAGGAGATGGAGGAGGAAGAATAACAACAGACGATTTGCCAAGCTCTGCCTCATCCCCGTAGTGGACTGCAGCAGCATCCTACCCCACATGGGTGATCTCAAAGACAGTCAAAAATAACCATCCTCACAGCTGCCAAAGCTTTGAGAGGAACATTTACTGTCCAGTTGCCTAAAAGAAAACATGAAGATGCACAGATGTCCAGTCTGCTGACTGTTCAGAAACCACTAGTCACTTCTACTAGTACTGCAGCATTGACCTTGGGTCTTCATTCACCTCTTCCCCAATGGAAGCCAGGGACAGCCTTCTGGTCATTGGCAGTAGAGAACAAGCCCATTAACAATGTTTGGTCTGAAGTGGCTTCTGTTGTGTGGGAAACTTAAAGGTCACAAAACATTAAATGTAGAATATCAAGCTAGGAAAGAGTGCATGTCGGGGAGGCAGAGAAATAATAAACACATTGAATATTTTCCCTTCATGCCTTTCATTATTTGACGAGTTGGAGCTTGTGAAACTTACGCAGCTCCAAACGATCTCAATAGTTATCAGTGAGAGAGTTCTACAGGTATTGGGTATGTTTGGCTATTATCTCAAGTACCATGCATTGCAGGTCTCTAGATTGAACATCCATTTCCCTTGTTCTTCTCTGCTCATTCCAGCTTGCTGATAATTTTACACCCAGTACTTTCATTTGACTGGTATTAAGGGACTCTTCATTCTTCTCTTCCCCAAGTATTCTTCTCTTCATTCAATACGTTCTGCCCATCCTCATGATTCCAGCATTTCATTCAACCATCTGCATTTATTTTATCTCCTCTCTAATACTTTACTTTCATTTCTCCCACAGTTTCTCCAAGTTCTCACACATGGTAAAAGAAGCTCTTTATCTCTTGAAACATTTAAGTCCTTGACTAAAGAAACATGCTCTCAAAAAGCACAAAACTATTTGATTAAATAAACTCTCAAAAATATAGCATTAATATAAATACTTGTATACTCTCATTTTTTTTCAAAATTGGAAGACATTTATTTCTCACTAAGTTTCAATTGTTGGCATACTTAAATACAGCCTACCCCTACCCTCATATATATACACATATATATTCTACATATACAAACATATGTATACACATACACACACACACATATATACAGTCATGCATCACTCAACCATGGGGATATATTCTGAGATGTGTCTTTAGGCCATTTTGTCATTGTGCAGACATCATAGAGTGTACTCACACTAAATGATATAACCTACTATGCACCTAGGCTATATGGTATAACCTGCTGCTCCTAGGCTAAAAACCTGCACAGCATGTTAGAATACTGTAGGCAATTGTAAATAACACAATGGTAAGTATCTGAATCCAAACATAGAACTGGAACTGTAAAAAATACAGTATAAAAGATAAAAATGGCACACCTGTGTAGGGTACTTACCATGAATGGAGCTTGCAGGAGTAAAAGTTGCTCTGGGTGGGTCTCAGATATTCCCTTATAGCAAAACAAGAATGGCTTAATAAAGTTGTCTGTTTATTAAGTTGTATAGACTCTGGATACAAGTCCCTTATCAGACATATGATTTGCAAGTATTTTCTCCCATTCTGTGGGTTCTCTTTTCAATTTCTGGATAGTATCTTTGAAGTATAAGTTTTTCATTTTGATGACATCTAATTTATCTATTTTTTGTTGTTGTTGCTTATGCTTTTAGTGTTATATTTTTTTCTTTACAGAGGTAATCAAGTTACAGTGCTATATTTAATAAACCATTGTCTAACCCGAGGTCATGAAGATTTACCCCTATGTTTTCACCTAAGGGTGTAATAGTTTCTCTAACATTTAGATCTGTGGTCCATTTTATGTTAGTTATATATATATTGTGTGAGATAAGGTGTTCAACTTCATTTTTTTTGCATGTGGATATCCAGTTGTCCCAGCAAAATTTCTTGAAAAGACTATTCTTTCCTTCATTAAATTGTCTGGGAAGCCTTGTTAAAAATCAATTGACCGTACATATAATGGGTTATTTCTGCATTCTAATTCTATTTCATTGATCTATATGTCTATCCTTATGGCAGTACCACACTGTCTTGGTGACTGTAACTTTAGAGTCAGTTTTAAAATTGAAAACTGTGAATCTTCAAACTTTGTTCTTATTTTTCAAGATTGTTTTGAATATTCTGGGTTCCTGGCATTTTCATATAAATTTTAAGATCAACTTGTCAATTTCTGGGGGGAAAAAACAGCTGGTACTTTAATTGGAATTGTGTAGAATCTGTAGAACAATTTGAGGAGTATTGCCATCTAAATAATACTATCTTTCAATCCATGAACATAGAACGTCCTTCCATTGATTTAGGTTTTATTTAGTTTATTTCAACAACATTCTGTAGTTTTTAGTGTAGAAGTCTTGTGCTTTATTGTGAAAATTATTCCTGAGTCTTATATTATTTTTGATGTTACTACAAATGAAATTTTTAAATTTCATTTTTTGATTATTCATTCCTAGCATATAGACCTACAATTGAGGCCAGGTGCAGTGGCTTATGCCTGTAATGCCAGCATGTTGGGAGGTGAGGCAGAAAGATTGCTTGAGCTCAGGAGTCTGAGACCAGCCTGGGCAACATAGAGAGATCTCATCTCTACTGGAAAAAAAAAAATGTTTTCAATTAGCCAGGCACAGTGTCACACACCTGTAATCCCAGCTACTTGGGAGGCTGAGCCAGGAGGATAAGTTGAGCCTGGGAGATAGAGGCTGCAGTGAGCTATGATCATGCCACTACCCTTCAGCCTGGGTGACAGAGTGAGACCTCACTTAAAAAAAAAAAAAAGAAATACAGTTGACTTTTACACATTAATCTTGCAATACATTAATCCTGCAATAATTCTGAACTTATTAGTTCTAACAGTTTTGTGTGTATGGATTACTTAAGATTTTCTATATACAAGATTATGGCATCTGCAATTATAGTTTTACTTATTTTTTTCCAGACTGGATGCCATTTAGTTTATTTTCTTGCCTAATCCACTGGCATGATCCTGCAGCACAATGTTCAATAGATGTTATAAGAGCAAACTTCCTTGTCTTGTTACTGATCTTAGTGAGAAAGCATCCAGTATATCATTATTCAGTGTGATGTCAGTTACGGATTTTTTTGTCAATGCCCTTTATCATGCAAAGAAAGTTCCTTTCTATTGCTACTTTGTTCTCTATATGTCATAAAATAGTGAAATGATTTTGTGAGATTTTGTAAAATGATTTTTCTATGTCTATTAATATCACTATGGTTTTAAAATTCTATTCACATGGTTTAGTACATGGACTGATTGTTTTAAAATGTTAAACCAACCTTGCATTCCTAGGATAAATCCCACTTGGTCATGGCATATAATCCTTTTTAAATATTCCTGGATTTGGTTTAACAGTATTATATGGAAGACTTTTGCATCTATACTCATAAAAGATATTAATTTGTAGCCTCATTTTCCTATGATGTCTCTTATTGGTTTGGATATAAGGGTTATGCTAGCCTCATAGAATGGGTTGGGAAGTTTAATATCCTCTTTTATTTTTTGGAAGAGTTCATAAAGGATTTGTATTTATTATTTAAACGTTTGGTTGGATTAAACACTGAAGCCATCTTCAGTATGCCTTCTATTAAAATAAAAATAGTTTTCATATTTTAAATTACACAATGTAGAAATTCTAAGCTAATTTTAAAAGATTAATAAATGCTCAGATGTGTTTACAAAACTTTATTAAGTCACTGTGTACCTCTCACCTCTCAATATCTGCATTCGTAGATATAAATTAATAGCTATGATTTTAAGTTGGTAATTTATATTTAACATTCATTGGCTGGAGTTATCATGTGAATATTCCACTCAGCTAAGAGAAAGAAAGGAGGAAAGAATGGAGGAAAATGGAGAAGAAAAACGAGGAGGGTGGGGAAGGTGGGTAGGGGGAAGGAAAAAAACAAAGAATCAATTTGTTAGAGGTCACACTGTTGTTAAGTACCTGTCTGTAAATCAGACCCCAGCAAACCCTTGCTTCTTTCACTCTGGTCCTGTGTTGACACAGCATCATCTCCTGTGCAAATCTATAGCTATTATAGGCTACCAGCTACTTCTCTTCACACTTGAGAATAAAGCCCATTTTCTGTTTTTTTGTTTTTTTTTTTTTTTTGATACGGAGTCTCACTCTGTCGCCCAGGCTGGAGTGCAGTGGTGCAGTCTTCGCTCACTGCAAGCTCTGCCTCCAGGGTTCACGCCATTCTCTTGCCTCAGCCTCCCAAGTAGCTGGGACTACAGGCACCCACCACCACGCCTGGCTAATTTTTTGTATTTTTAGTAGAGACGGGGTTTCACCGTGGTAGCCAGGATGGTCTTGATCTCCTGACCTCGTGATCCACCTGCCTTGGCCTCCCAAAGTGCTGGGATTACAGGCGTGAGCCACCATGGCCGGCCAAGAATAAAGCCCATTTTCTATAAGAAGATCTTATATGTGATGCTGCCTTTTTCGTCAAACAAATGGTGTGGCTGGCCTCTCACCAAATTATCAGTGTGATAAAGTGAAAAGAGCCTTGGGGTCAGAAGATCTAAGCGCTGAACAAGATTCTTGCTCCAAAGTTAGGAAACCATTGCATACCACCTTTCCTTTCCGGGTCTCAGTTTTCTCATCATTAACATGAGAGGTTCAGCCAGACTGGCTCTAAAGTGACTTTCATGATGCTACAGTTGGGGACAGTTCCTCTGTGTCACTGCAGAAATAGTCCTCAGAGGCAATTTGTTCCATGGTTATAAGAAGGGCCCTTGGAGTCAAAGACACCTGAATTCCAATTCTGGCTCCACATTTTATTGGCTGTGTCACCTTGGAAAGTCTATTATGCTCTATGAGCTTCAGTTTTCTCATATGTAAAATAGGGAGCATTTAAAAATACCTCCTTTATAGGGTTCTTTTATAGATTTAGTGAGGTAATTTGTTGTGCTAGTAAAAAGTAGGCACTCGAAAAATGTTGGCAACATTGTTAGGTGCTAGGCCCTTTGCTGAAGCTACATAAATAAACAAGACAGGGCCTGCTTTTGAAGAGCTCCCACTCCAACAAAAAAGGCAGAAATCGACACAGAAAAGTTTCGAAACAACATAATGTGTTCCACAACAGAGGTTTGTGTAATAGGTGAAAGATGCTGTGGGAACACAGAGGTTAGAGTTTGAGGGAGGGAGGGAAGATTTCACAGAGACGATAACATCCCAGGTGTGCTATGGATAAATAGGAAAAAGCCCATGGGAAGAAAGAAGTGGAAAGACATTCTAGCTGGAGAGGGCATCCTATGCACAGTCACAGAGGCCTGGGGTAGCAGGAGTGTTTTAAAGAAGAAACAATGCAGTGTGGCTCCAGTTTTAGATATGAAGAGAAAGATAGTGAGAAATGAAAATGGAGGGAGCAGTATGAGCCAATAAAAGGTAGAATTTAATGAGCCTCATTAAAAGGTAGAATTTAATTCTGTTTGCAATGAACAGCCCACAGAGGAGGGCCATGGTGAGTGTTGTGTTTGGGGAAGATAGTTTGGAACTCTGGCAGCCTGTGGGTGGTCTATGGGGAGAAGGTTAATAGAAGGAATGAAAAGAACAGAAGGGAAGTGCTTCCATATGAGGGTGGGTTCTCTGCCATGGCAGTGGAGAAATTGTGGGTAATAGCATTAAAGGTCCCAGGCCTCCTTCTTCCAGAATCCTCAGTCACCAGTGCTCCAAATGGGATGCTTCTGTTCTACATGGCAGTCCTGGGGAGAAAGGCAATAGGAAATAGTCATTGTTTGAGCACCATCTATATTCCAGGCACTCACTCACAGAGGCACCATCTGCTGGCTAAGCATAGAAATTCACTACCAGGACACACCACAGTAACAATAGCTACACACCACAGTAACAATAGCTACAGGCAGGATCATTGATGAATGCTAAAAATTAGTAAGAAAAACTTTCGGAAGAAATAAGATTTGAATAGCCTCAAAGTATCTCCACCAAGATATTTGTTAGTTACCCTGATGGTTTTAATATATGTCCAGAAATTATTCGGTACTCTTCTCCTCAGGACTTTGGAACTTAATTCTCTTTCTTTTGAGTGTGGGCTGGACTTAGTGACTTACTTCTAAAGGCTAGAATATGGAAAAGGAAAAATAGAGGAAACTGGGAGACATCCCCTTAATCAAATGATCTAGGTTAACATCACACATAATAAGTCATGTTGATATCATATACCCTGTGATATGATAAGATGGGAAGGACACTTCACCTCTTATGTACTCATAACTGCAGCTTCATCACGAGAGAAGATCAGATGAATTCAAATTCAAGGCCATTCTACAAACTAATTGACCAGTACACTCTAAAAAGTGTCAAGATCATGCAAGTCAAGGAAAGTCTGAAAACAGTCACAGGTTGGAGGAGATTAAGGAGACCTGATTAGACCAGTACACTCTAAAAAGTGCCAAGATCAGACGGGTGTGGTAGCTCACGCCTGTAATCCCAGCACTTTGGGAGGCCGAGGTGGATAGATCACCTGAAGTCAAGAGTTCGAGACCAGCCTGGCCAACATGGTGAAACCCCGTCTCTACTAAAAATACAAAAATTAGCTGGGCTTGGGGGCACGTGCCTGTAGTACTGGCTACTCGGGAGGATGAGGCAGGGCAATCGCTTGAATCCGGGAGGCAGAGGCTGCAGTGAGCCAAGATCACGCCATTGCACTCCAGCCTGGGCAACAAAGTGAAACTCCGTCTCAAAAATAAATAAATAAATGAATAAATAAATGTTTAAAAGTGCCAAGATCATGCAACTCAAGGAAAGTCTGAAAATAGTCATAGGTTGGAGGAGACTAAGGAGACTTGACAACTGAAGGCAAAGCAGTATCTTTGACTGGATCCTGAAACAGAAAACCAAACAAGAAAAAAACAAAATACAAAAAACACTAGTGGATAAACTGCAGAAATCCAAATAAAGTCTGTAATGGGTGACTAACTGTCCTGGTTTGCTGGGACTGAGGGGATCCTGGGGCATGGAACTTTCAGTTTGGGGGCCTTTGTTTTTTCTTTTTTCTTGAAACAGAATCTCGCTCTGTCACCTGGGCTGAATTGCAGCAGCACGATCTCAGCTCACTGCAACCCCCACCTCCCCGGTTCAAACAACTCTCATGCCTCAGCCTCCTGAGTAGTTGGGACCACAGGTGTGCACCACCACACCTGCCCTCAGTTTTAAAATCAAAACAGCCCAGTTTGTCTGGAACTGAAGGCTTTCCTAGGATGCGAAGTTTTCAGTGCTAAAAATAACGAAGGCCCAAGAAAACCTGCATGAGTTGGTTACCCTAGTAATAACAGTATTACAATTGTACCAAGGTTCGTTTCTTAACTTTGACTAACATACCATGGTTGTGTAAGACGTCAACATTTGGGGAAGCCAGATGAATGTTTACAAGAACACTGTTATCCTTCTAACTCTTCAGTAAATCTAAAATGAGTTCAAAATGAAACAAAACAATTGAACTAATTTTATAAAGTGGAGCTGGTGTGAGAATAAATATAAGTATCCTAGTATTGTGTCAGGAATTGGTGGGTTCTTGGTCTCACTGACTTCAAGAATCAAGCCGCAGACCCTCGCGGTGAGTGTTACAGTTCTTTAAGGCAGCGTGTCCAGAGTTTGTTCCTTCTGATGTTCAGATGCGTTCGGAGTTTCTTCCTTCTGGTAGGATCACGGTCTCGCTGGCTCAGAAGTGAAGCTGCCGACCTTCACATTGAGTGTTACAGCTCTTAACGCAGTGCATCTGGAGTTGTTTGTTCCTCCTGGTGGGTTTGTTGTCTCGCTGGCTTCAGGAGTGAAACTGCAGACCTTTGCGGCAAGTGTTACAGCTCATAAAGGCAATGTGGACCCAAAAATTGTACAGCAGCAAAATTTGTTGCCAAGAGCAAAAGAACAAACTTTTCCCAGTGTGGAAAAGGACCCCAGCGGCTTGCCACTGCTGACTCCGGCAGCCTGCTTTTATTCTCTTATCTGGCCCCACCCACATCCTGCTGATTGGTCCATTTTACAGAGAGCCGATTGGTCTGTTTTACAGAGAGCTGATTGGTCCATTTTGACAGGGTGCTGATTGGTGCATTTACAATCCCTGAGCTAGACACAAAAGTTCTCCACCTCCCCACTAGATTAGCTAGATACAGAGTGCTGATTGGTGTATTTACAAATCCTGAGCTAGACACAGAGTGCTGATTGGTGCATTTACAAACCTTGAGCTAGAAACAGAGTGCTGATTGCTGTATTCACAATCTCTTAGCTAGACATAAAGATTCTCCAAGTCCCCACCAGATTAGCTAGATACAGAGTGCCAATTGGTGCATTCACAAACTCTGAGCTACACACAGAGTGCTGATTGGTGCATTTACAAACCTTGAGCTAGACACAGAGTGCTGATTGGTGTATTTACAATCCCTTAGCTAGACATAAAGGTTCTCCAAGTCCCCACTAGACTCAGGAGCCCAGCTGGCTTCACCCAGTGGATCTCGCGCCAGGCAGCAGGTGGAGCTGCCTGCCAGTCCCACCCCATGCGCCTGCACTCCTCAGCCCTTGGGCGGTTGATGGGACCGGGCGCCCTGGAGGAGGGGGCGGCGCTCGTCAGGGAGGCTCAGGCCGTGCAGGAGCGCAAGGCAGTGGGGGAGACTCAGGCATGGCAGGCTGCAGGTCCCTAGCTCTGCCCCACGGGGAGGCAGCTAAGGCCCGGCTAGAAATCCAGTGCAGCCCCTGTTGGCCAGCACTGCTGGGGGACCCCGCGCACCCTCCGGCAGCTGCGGCCTGGGTGCTAAGCCCCTCACTGCCCGGGCCGGTAGCGCCAGCCAGCCGCTTGGAGTGCGGTCCGCCAAGCCCACATCCACCTGGAACTTGCGCTGGCCCACAAGCATCAGGCACAGTCCTGGTTCCTGCCCGCACCTCTCCCTCCACACCTCCCCACAAGCTGAGGGAGCTGGCTCCGGCCTCGGCCAGCCCAGAAAGGGGCTCCCACAGTGCAGCGGCGGGCTGAAGGGCTCCTCAAGCACGGCCAGAGTGGGCGCTGAGGCTGAGGAGGCACCAAGAGCGAGCAAGGGCTGCGAGGGCTGCCAGCATGCTGTCACCTCTCAGTATCTTCACTTTTCATGGCAAAGAGTTGTCAGATGGAGGCTAGCCTCAAGAAGGGACCAGAGATGGAAAAGTCTGGAACTAGACTCCCCTCTGTGTCTCTCTAGGCTGCAGGAGCAGATCCCGCTTCTCTCCCAGCCCATTGTCTCCCAGCAGCCCTGCTTCAGTCTTCTGGCCACACAGCTTTCTCTTTCTCCACGCACATAGCTGTCCAGCTCTACATGACATCTGCTCCCAGCCTCGGCAGTCAGCAAGTAGAGTCTCCAAGTCCCACTGTAAATTCCAAGTTGAGCAAAGCTGGGTCTTGTGCCCAGCTCTGACCTCAATCACTGATAGCCAGAGTGTGGGTGACACAGTCTGTACCTTTCCATCTTCAGAGTCTAAGGAGGTGGGTAATAGGGCAGGCAAATGGGTCATCAGAACAGTAATGTTCATAGTGGTAAGATGTGGGAAAAAAATACAAATAATGTTAAAGGACAAATGATGTTTGTATTGAGCATCTTAGTGTTGCCTCAAGTAAGCAAAGCCATTTTGTAAACAAAAGGAAATGTAAGGTACATACCCATTAATGGTCAAGTCAAAGACCAACAGCTGCCATTCCCTGCCTGAGTCACATGCAGACTCCCATGCAAGACCCCCTACTAGCCCCCTCCTCTCTAGTCTCAGGGACCCTTTCCCTCTGCTTCCAAGTGGCACGGGAGGCATGGCCTCCTACTTCCTCTATTTTCTTTCCGGTCTTAATGTGATATAAATTCTGTATCTTGCCTTACTCAGGTCTGCCCTTTTGAATCTTAAAAGCCTGTTTGAGGAATCAAATAACTGAAATCTGACTATTTCTTGTCATTTTCCTTCCTACTTATCTTACTTAGCCTGAAGATTGTGTGAACGTCTTGATTGACTACAAGTAGAAATCAGGGACATGCATGAGGAACTGGGGAGGGGATGCATTAAGACCAATATTTTGAATTGGACATGTCAAACGTGTGCCTGAAAACGTGTTTAATGTGAGGAAAACCTGCAACAGACCTACATGTTTTAAGTGTGTTTATAGGTGGTTCCATCTCGGAAAGAAAAAATAAATATATTTTGTAATCCCCAGTTACTTCTCTCAAAAGATACAGTATCTTTGCCTCTATTCCTTAACTTTTTTCTTCTCCTTCACAACCAGACAGTCAACTGGTTCAAGCCCAGTGATTGTCTGATTCTGGAACAAGATTTATTAATTTCAGTACGCCTAACAATTTCCATCTTTATTGCTTTAAATTTACAAAACTTACACTACATATCTGCACTTTCATTTTTTTCCATCTTTCCTTCATTTTTATGAAACAGGGACAAAATGCCACCAAATGTTTAAGCAACTGCATAAAGGTGCCCTGGACAAATAAGGTATGCTGTGGCCAAAACTGGACTGTTGGCCAGTGAGTAGTGCCAGAAACACCTGTTGAAAGGGTCATTCATCAGTTGATAAGCAGATGTGTACATTCGATAATGCATGGTTTCTTCCCCATCTTATGTACTGTATTAGATAAGCTTAATTTCATAAAAGTTTTATGCACTCATTGTAAAAAGCTAAACAGAGTTGTGTGAAGAACAAGTTAATTCTCCAGCCCTCTCCCATGCCCCTCCATACCCAATGCCATACATGGAGATAACCAATGTTTGTTGCTTGGTGTGTTTCTTTCCACACTTTTCTCTATACAAACATAAATGTATGTAAATATATGTACACAAACATTTTGTGCTTTGTTGTGTTATTTTTAATCTCAATGGATTCATACTATGAACATTATCTTGCTTTTTTAGCCAATGGCATATAATGGACAGACTTTTAGACCTCTGTATAGAAATCTAATTAATTTTACCTTATGCACAATATTTCACATTATGGATGCATATAATTTATTTATCCATTCCTCAAGATGAACCTTCAGATTAGTTCTAGTTTTTTGACACCACTATAAATTGCCTCATATATTTACAGAAAAAATAATGACCTATTATTTCTGTCAGAATGATGGCCCAAACTGATTTTACTAAATCAAAGGATTTGTGTGCTATTTATATCACTAGACATCACACATTAGTTTCCCAAAGGTTATAGAAATTCACACTTCCACCAGCAATGTTTCAAAGTGCTTATTTCTCACTACCATGGGGTGTTGTTACTATAGGGGTGAAGAGAATTTTGCTCTCCCTCTGAAGGTTTGAGTCTGCTGAAATGAACTGAAAATAGATCAACAGGAGAAAAGGCATATAAATGTATTAATATGCATAAGCACAGAAGCCATACGAAATATGAGACTCAAAGAAGGGCCAGATGGTTGAGGCTTAAATACCTTCTTCTTAGGGGAGAGGAAGATGGGTGATGTAGGCAATGGTGAGGGGGTAGTAAATGATTTTCAAGGGAAAGGAATGGGTCCAAAGAGCAGACAGTAGTTTTTAAATGATTGTTTTAGGAAATTGAATGGGACTGGCAAGTTGTGGGAAAATGAGGGGTAGAACTGCACTGTGAACAAAGGTCATCTAATTATGCAGATAAACTCTTTTAAGGCAATCTCGGAGATGCCCTCAAAAAAATAGATGGGCCAGGCACAGTGGCTAATGCCTGTAATCCCAGCACTTTGGGAGGCTGAGGCCGGCTGATCACGAGGTCAGGAGATCAAGACCATCCTGACTAACACAGTGAAACCCCATCTCAACGAAAAATACAAAAAATTAGCCGGGTGTGGTGGCAGGTGCCTGTAGTCCCAGCTACTCAGGAGGCTGAGGCAGGAGAATGGCGTGAACCCGGGAGGCGGAGCTTGTAGTGAGCCGAGATCGCACCACTGCACTCCAGCCTGGGCAGCAAAGCAAGACTCCGTCTCAAAAAAAAAAAAAAAAAAAAAAAAAAATAGATGAAAAGTCTGTCTGGGTATGGTGATGACGTGTAGTCTTTCCTCTTCTCTGGTGGTTAATCTTTCCTGGTTATTTAATGAGATTCCTAGGGAGAGGGATTAAGATAATTCCATTTCTTTTGGAGAGAAGTTTCCTCAGTCAGATAAGGAAATTCCAGAGAGAGAGCCTCTCCCTGCACTTTGGGGACAGGCGAGAAACAAAAGAAGATTAGAAAATCCTTGGTTCGGAAGCAGCTTCTAAGATCTTTCAATTTATTTTAATTCAAAGTGCTCAGCATGCCAAAGCACCATACTTTTGGGTATTGTTTTCTGAGCATCAACATTATCAATTGTTTTAACATTTGCCAATTTAATGAGTGAACAATGAAATCTCATTCTTTTCGTTTGCATTTACCTGCTTCATTAGTGAGATTAAGCATCTCTTCAAATGTTAATTAGCTAACACTGTGAATTGTCTCTCCTAATCTTTGCTGGGATTTTTTTCTCCTGTTAAGTTGTCTTTTTCTTCCTGTATTAGTTTTCTATTGCTACCATAATACATTACCATAAACTCAGCAGCTTAAACAACACAAACTTATGTTCTAGAGGTCAGAAGTCTAAAATCGGTCTCAATTGGACTAAAATCAAGGTGGCAGCCAGATCGTGTTTCTTTCTGAACATTCTAGGGGAGATCTGTTTCCTTGCTTTGCCCAGCTTTTCAAAGCTACCCACATTCTTTGACTTGGACCCTCTCATCATCTTCAAAGTCAGCAATGACAAGGCAAGTCCTTCTCAAACTACTGTCTCTTTTGTTCTCTGCAGCCAGAAAAGGCTTTTGCATGTAAGGTCACATTAGATTGAGCCCACCAGGATAATCCAGGATAAACCCTGCATCTCAGAGCCCATTAATCACATCTGCAAAGCCTTATTCATAGGTCCAGGGGATTAGGGCATGGACATCTTGGGGGCTGTGACTCTGTCTAATACACTGATCAATGTATGGAAGCACTTTTTTAAAAGAATATAATCTCGTTGGCATAAATGTTGCACACATTCTTTAACCTATTATTGGATCTTTCATATTGTTTATGACTCTACCCTTTTTAGAATGTCTGCTCTCTTCAGACTTGCAAATAACTTTACTTTTTACCTTTCTTGTGGCTGAGTACTTCTGAGATAAATAATAGTTTCCTGAATTTCCTAATTTAAAGCATAAGTAGCGTGAAGAGCCAGAATCACGATGTCAGTGATATTCACACCCTCACCAGGTGTCTGATAGAAAATTTAGGGTAACAGTTGGAATTAATCCTGACAATGGGGTCATTTGGGTAGACTTGGATTAATTTGAATACCTTGGACTCTCAAATTCTTTTGAGTCATCCTTTACCAATAGAAGTGTCCCATGTCCCCTCAGTTTTGACCTGCATAGCTCTGCCTTGCTTCAAGACCCTAAGCAAAGCAGGGTCTTTCTGTGTTACCAGAAAGGGGTCTTAATCCAGACCCCAAAAGAGGGTTCTTGGATCTCACACAAGAAAAAATTCAGGGCAAGTCCATACAGTGAAGTGAAAGCAAGTTTATTGAGAAAGTAAAGGAATAAATGGGTGACTACTTCATAGGCAGAGCAGCATGGAGGGCTGCTGGTTAGCTATTTTTATAGTTACTTCTTGATTACATGCTAAACAAGGGACAGATTATTCACGAGTTTTCCAGGAAAGGGGCAGGCAATTCCTGGGACTAAGAGGTCCTCCCCTTGTCAGATCATACAAGGTAACTCCCAGACATTGCCATGGCATTTGTGAACTGTCATGGTGCTGGTGGGAGTGTCTTTTAGTGTGCTAAAGACACGCTAAATTATAATGCTATCAGCATTATAATTAGCATATAATAAGCAGTGAGGACGATCAGAGGTCAATTTCATCACCACCTTGGTTTTGGTGGGTTTTGGTTGGCTTCTTTACTGCATCCTGTTTTATCAGCAGGGGTCTTTTTGACCTGTATCTTGTGCCGACCTCTTATCTCATCCTAACCTAATTCAGGAGTTTATCATGCTTAACTTCCTGGGAATGCAGCCCAGAAGACCTCATCCTCATTTTGACCAGCCCTTCTTCAAGATGGAGTCGCTCTGATTTGATTGCCTCTGACAATTATCTTACCTGTAATCAATAGGATTGTAATTGTGAAAGTGAGAGACAGGACTAGCTGGATTTCCTAGGCCAACTAAGAATCCCTAAGCCTAGCTGGAAGGTGACCGCATCCACCTTTAAACACGGGGCTTGCAACTTAGCTCACACCCGACCAATCAGAGAGCTCACTAAAATGCTAATTAGGCAAAAACAAGAGGTAAAGAAATAGCCAATCATCTATTGTCTGAGGGCACAACGGGAGAGACAAGGATCTGGATTTAAACCCAGGCATTTGAGCCGGCAACAGCAACCCCCTTTGGGTCCCCTCCCCCTCCTTTTGTACGGGAGCCCTGTTTTCACCCTATTAAATCTTGCAACTGCACTCTTCTGGTCCATGTTTATTACAGCTCGAGCTGAGCTTTTGCTCACCGTCCACCACTGCTGTTTGCCGCCGTCGCAGACCCGCCGCTGACTTCCATCCCTCCAGATATGGAAGGGTGTCCGCTGTGCTTCCGATCCAGTGAGGCGCCCATTGCCACTCCTGATGAGGCTAAAGGCTTGCCATTGTTCCTGCACAGCTAAGTGCCTGGGTTCATCCTAATCGAACTGAACACTAGTCATTGGGTTCCACGGTTCTCTTCCATGACCCACGGCTTCTAATAGAGCTGTAACACTCACTGCATGACCCAAGATTCCATTCCTTGGAATCCGTAAGGCCAAGAACCCCAGGTCAGAGAACACGAGGCTTGCCACAATCTTGGAAGTGGCCTGCCACCATCTTGGGAGCTCTGTGAGCAAGGACCCCCTGGTAACAAAAGGAGTCTCATTCTCCAGCCCCCACCACTCCTTCTTGCTAGAAAACCCATAATTAGGATCAGATCCCAGCCTAACCTAGGGGTATGGATATAAATATGACATTAAAAAGGAGCTAACACCCTGAATTCCAATCTTCTGCTAATTTATAACAGCAAATACTTAGGGATTATTTATGGAAGGGATACTAAGGGAACTAGACCAGGGAGGAAAGGACATAATTGTGATCCCAAATTAATATATCCATATGGATACTCTAACTAGACATTCCGATGCAATATTAGATAAAGCAGTGGCTCTGTTAGACTTCAAGAATGGTAACCTAAACTGTGGATTCAGTGATGACCTGTATTAAATCAAGTGGAAGTGCTAAGATATTTTGGCATAATTTTCTTGGAGAAAATAACTCAAAGATTAGAAACATAGCAATGTTGCAGTGGATTTACATGTGTGATCTACTCATGCATAACCTAAATACGTCTCCCAGAAGACACAGAGAAACTTTATTTAATGAGGCACTAAGAAGTATATTGATGGCCAGGCACTGTGGCTCATGCCTGTAATCCCAGCACTTTGGGAGGCCGAGGTGGGTGGATAACCTGAGGTCAGGAGTTTGAGACCAGCCTGGCCAACATGGTGAAACCCCGTCTCTACTAAAAACTACAAAAATTAGCCAGGTGTGGTGGCGGGTGCCTATAGTCCCAGCTACTTGGGAGGCTGAGGCAAGAGAATCGCTAGAACCTGGGAGGCGGAGGCTGCAGTGAGCTAAGATCGCACCACTGCACTCCAGCCTGGGCAACAAGAGCAAGACGCCGTCTCCAAAAAAAAAAAAAAAAAAGAAGTATATTGATTAGGAACACCAGCATCATTATCAAAGCTCAGCAGTGGCTGTCCTCCACTGGCCAGGGGTGACATTAGTTGATACTGCCACAGAAATGGGATCCTTTCTTTCAGTAGAGGTGGTGGTATATTGCAGTGTTCCTGAGACATTAGCATGCATCAGAATCACCTGGAGGCTTGTAAAAAACAGATTGATGGGCCCCACTTGCGAAGTTTCTGATTCAGTAGGTCTGGGTGGGGTCGGAGAATTTGCACTTCTAACAAATTACCAGCTGATGCTGATATTGTTGGCTTAGAGCCCACAACTTGGGAACCAGAGAGCATACTTGAAAGGAATAGAGGAAGTAGAGGCACTCAACCACAGAGATAAGGGAGGTGCGGGTACAATAACTGGCAGCAGATTTAAATGATTTCAAAATGTTTTAACTCATGGAGATATCCGTCAGTGGTCAAATCATCTTACTGTTCCTGTGACTGGAATAGACTGGGGACTACCAAAGTCCTAATTTTTTTCTGTTCAGTTAATCAATAAACAAAAAAACAAAGATTAGGTCTGGTGACAGCACAAAGATTCCTGGCCTCTCATCCAATTCTCAGTGTTTTGCTACTTCACCAACGTGGAGCTGCTTGACTGAAAGGGAATCCAGCTCCCGTGTGGAAGAGTCCTAGGACACTGCCACAAGTGTGCACAGTAATTCTTCCTTCATACCCACCATGGGACCTTCAGGCACAGGGCTGATGGTGCATGGAGAAGGGACTGCCCGGGCTTGTCAGAGATTACCGGACATTGACTCTAAATTGACAGTAATCCCCAAGGACTCAAAACACCACTGCAGTTCAACTGTCGAACTGGGGGTTTTGGAAGACAGGTGATACAGAGAGCTTCTGCCTTAGTCCATTTTCACAGTTGGCCAGTGTCCATAAACCCACTCTGTAGATATTTACCCAGTTACTGAATACAAAATATATGCTCTCAGTTCTCACCATGGGGAGCTCTGCTGGTTTAAAGCCCATAATTACTAAGGAAGAAATGTTTCTACCAGAGGACACTGGAAGTTGAATCTTCCACTTGGCAATTTTGAGCTCCACATGCCACTGAATTAGCAAGTAACAAAGGAGACTATACAGGCTGGGTTCCCTGCTCCTAATTATCAAAGAGAAATGGGGCTGCTGATACCCAATAGGGACAAGGGGGAGAATGTCTGAAACAATGGAATATATATTTATTTATATATTTTTATATATAATATACTATTTATATATACACACATATAAATAAAATAATTGCCAACTAAAAATTTTGTAGCCATCATAAAAGTCTTTTATGTCCTTCAAAATAAAGACAAACTAGATACTTTTTTCAGATAATCAAAACCTAACAGACCCATGTTGAAACACTAAACACTAAAGGAAAATTTTCAGGCAGAAGAAAAACAATTCTAGATGGAATCATAGATTTCCAGAAAGAAAGTAAAAGCATTAGAAAGAATATTATAAATACACACGCGCACACACACACACACACACACACACACAGAGATCTAAATGAACACTGACTGTATGAAACAGCAATAATTATGACGTCATGCGGGGTTTAAAAACAGACGTGCAATTTTTAAGATACATGAGAATAAATAGTACAAAAGGCAAGAGATACACGAAGTACTTGAAAGCCCTTGAATTACCAGAGTGTGGAAGATCATTTTTGCTAGGCTTTAATAAGTCAAGAATGCCTACTGGAATCTAAGGTAACCATTTTTTTAAAACTGCAAAAAAAGATAAACCTATCAAACTAATAGAGAAGAATGGAATAAATAAAAACTATTTGATGAATCTATAAGAAAGCAAGAAAGGAAAGAGAAAGAAATATAGAGCAGGTGGGGCCAATAGAAAAAAAGTAAGTAAGATGATAGATTTAAACTCAAATATATTAGTAATTATATTTAAAACAAATTAAATATTCCAATTAAGAGGTAAAGGTTATTATTTGGATTAGAACTCAACTATTATATACTTTTTACAAGAGATACACCCAAAATATATGGATATTAAAAAGATGAAAGTAAAATTTAAAAAAGTACCATACAAACCCTGATTTAAAGAAAGCTGGTATGACTGTAGTAATTAATATCAGACAAAATTCACGCCTGTAATCCCAGCACTTTGGGAGGCCAAGATGGGTGGATGCCGAGGTCAGGAGATTAAGAGCATCTTGGCTAACACAGTGAAACACCGTCTCTACTAAAAATACAAAAAAATTAGCCGGGCGTGGTGGCGGGCGCCTGTACTCCCAGCTACCCGGGAGGCTAAGGCAGGAGAATGGCGTGAACCCGGGAGGCGGAGCTTCCAGTGAGCCGAGATGGCGCCGCTGCACTCCAGCCTGGGCGACAGAGCGAGACTCTGTCTCAAAAAAAAAAAAAAAATCAGACAAAATGAACCTTAGTCACGCCTGTAATCCCAGCACTTTGGGAGGCTGAGGCAGGCAGATCACGAGGTCAGGAGATCGAGACCATCCTGGCTAACACGGTGAAACCCCGTCTCCACTAAAAAATACAAAAAATTAGCCGGGCGTGGTGGCGGGCGCCTGTAGTCCCAGCTACTGGGGAGGCTGAGGCAGGAGAATGGTGTGAAACCAGGAGGTGGAGCTTGTAGTGCGCCGAGATTGCGCCACTGCACTCCAGCCTGGGCTACAGAGCCAGACTCTGTCTCAAAAAAAAAAAAAATGAACTTTAGGACCAACATGCTATAAGTGATAATGTGGGGTATTTCATAATTATCAAAAAGTCAACAATCAGTACAATTGAAAAAATATAAATTTGTATGTGCCTAATGGTATAGCATTAAAATAAATAATTTAGTAATTAACAAACCTAAGAGAAAAAAAGAGTCCATAACTGTAGTGTGAAATTTTTAATATACTTCTCTCCATAACTGAAAGAGTAAATAAACAAAAATTTAAAAATGAGAATACTTAAACAACATGTTTAGTATACATCGCCTGACATATATAAAATACAATAACCTAAACTGCAAAACATACCATTACTTTCTCTTTTTTTCCCACAAATAGCACTTTTTATTTGACACTATTTGAAGTCTGAATTTTAAACAGATTCTTGGACTGGTAGTTCATATCCATCAGCTCGTTCAACTTTAACACCTGTCTCGTCCCCAGTGGCTTTTCCAGAACTACAGCCTTCACCATGAAGCTCCATGAGCTTTCCCAATTCAAACTTGGGCTTCTTCAGCATTTTTACTTTTCTAACGAAGACATCATGGAGAGGATAAATAGATTGGCAAGCCTTTTCTACGTCTTTTCCAATGCTGTCTGGAATCAATTTATTGACCACTTCTTTCAAGTCATTTGTCTGCACCTCTCGGGTCATGATTTCCATCATCTTCTTCCGGATTTGGCTGGTACTGAGCATAAGAGGTCTTCCGGATTTCTCAGGACCTGCTGGTGCTGAGCATAAGAGGTCTTCCGTATCTGATTGTTGCGTTTTTTAGTAAAACCAACACAGAACAGACGAAGCAAGTAACCATCGGTAGTCTTGACATCAACGTGAGCTTCAATCATTGTCTGCCATTTTTTGACCATGGAACACATTTTGTCACTGGTAAGATCCACGCCATGGAAGTTAGTCAGGCAGTTTTTACCCTGAACATCTTCAGTAATCAGCTTGAATTTTCTAAATGCAACTTCATCATTCTGCAAATCAGCAAGACTCACTTCAAACACACGACCATCAGATGCAATTTTGGTTCCTTGGGTCCTGGTGACGAGCGTCTTTCCAATATTTCTTATATTGAACATAGCAGGTGCGTTCACATCGTACCAATCTTTCTTAGAAAATGGATCAACCACTTTCTTCTTGGCTCCCTTTTTGCCACCTTTCGTAAGGCGCTTGTTCTTGTCAACCACCATGGTGCTGGTCAGAGAGCCAAAAGGCATACCATTACTTTCAAATGCACATAGAAAATTTACCAAAATCAGGCCGGGCACAGTGGCTCATGCCTATAATCCCAGCACTTTGGGAGGCCAAGGCAGGTGGATCACCTGAGGTCAGGAGTTCGAGACCAGCCTGACCAACATGGTGAAACCCCGTCTGTACTAAAAATACAAAAATTAGCCAGGTGTGGTGGCACATGCCTGTAATACCAGCTACTTGGGAGGCTGAGGCAGGAGAATCGCTTGAACCTGGGAGGCGGAGGTTGCAGTGAGCCGAGATCACGCCATTGCACTCCAGCCTGGGTAACAAGAGTGAAACTATGTCTCAAAAAAAAAAAAGAAAAGAAAATTTACCAAAATCAGTCATATACTAACTCATAAAGCAAGCACCAACAATTTTTAAGAAATTAATATCTTCCAAAGTATATTCCTTAACTGTAATGGAAATAAGCTAGAAATCACTTCTTAAAAAAAGGTAACTAGAAAATTTCCAAATGTTTAGAAGTTAAGCAGTATACTTCTATATAGTACATAAGTGAAAGAAAAAGTTACAAAGGAAATTAGAAAACATCTGGAACTGAATGGCAATGAAAATATGACATATCATAATTTATGGGATTCAGTTAAAGTTATGAATAGAAGAAACTGTTTACCATTAAGTGAACATATGAGAAAAGATGAAATGCCAAAAGTCAAGGCTCTAAACATCCATCTCAAGAAGTTAGAAAAAGAACTGCAAATTAAACTCAAAGTGAAAGAAAATAATAAAGATAAGAACAGAAATTAATGAAGTGGAAAACAAATGCAGAACAGAGAAAAATCAAGAAAGCCAGAGTTCAAAATCAAGGCTTGCCCTTTGAACACTTGAATGAGATTTGTAAATTTATAAATCACTGGAAAAAATTAATCATTAAAAAAAAGAAGGCACAAGAAACCACTATCAGGAATGGAAAGGGGAATTAAAAAGAAAATTAAGTGAAAATAATGTGTAATCTGTTGTCAGTACATTTACTGATTTACATATTTAGATAGAAAGAATGAATTCATAAGAAAAAAAGAAATAGAAATTTGAATTGTACTATACATTTTAAAGAAATTAAACACATATCTGAAAGCCTTTTATCAAAAGATTTAGGCTTAGATAACTGCATTGGTGAATTCTTCCAAACATTTAAAGAAAGATAATGCCAGTCACACCCAAACTTTTCCAGAGAACAGCAACTGGGAAACACTTCCCTACTTGTTCTATGTAGAAGTATAACCTTAGATTCCAAACTCTGACAAGGTTATTATAAGAAAAGAAAATCACGAGCCAATCTCTCTTAAAACAGAATTGAAAGCATTACAAATCTAGCAATTTATAAAAATAACAATACATCACAACCCTAGATGTGCATATTCCAAGAAAGGGAACTTAACATTTAAAACTCAATTAATTTAATGTACCACATAAACAGAATAAGGGAGAAAAATCACATGATCATTTTAATAAACAAAGATAAATCATTTGATAAATTGTATATGTATTCACAATAAAATCTTTTAGCAAAATAGAATTAGAAGGGGACCTTCTTCATCTATTAATTTATAGATACCAGAAACCTACAACCAACATCACACCTAACAGTAAAATCCTAAAAGCTTTTCCCCTAAGATTAAAAAATAAGACAAAAATGACTGGGAGTGAGGGTGCATGCCTATAATCCCAACTACTTGGGAAGCTGAGGCAGGAAAATTGCTTGAACCCATGAGGTGGAGTTTGCAGTGAGCCAAGATTGCACCACTGCACTCCAGCCTGGGTAACAGAGCGAGAATCCATCTCAAAAAAAAGAAAAAAAAAAAAGAAATAAGACAAAAACACTTGCTATCACCACTTCTATTCAACATTATACTAGAGATTCTAACTAGTGCAATTAAGCAAGAACAATAAATGAAAGATTTAAGAATTGGAAAGAAAGACATAAAACAATCATAACAGATTACTATATAGACTACATAGTACACAATAGAAAATACACAAAAACTTGTAGACAAACTATTAGAATTAATAAGCAAACTTAGCAGAATCACTAGATAAAAGGTCAGTATACAAAAAGCAGTGGTAGCTTTAGATTCTAACAAACAAATAGAGAAAAAAATTTTAATATTCCAATTATAATATTGTAAATTTAAAAACTGGAGAATAAATCTAACAAAGAAGGTACAAGAATGCTACACAGAAAACTATACAACATTTTGAAAAATTGAAAATGACCTAAATAAATGGAGAGATATACCATATTCATGAAGTGGAAGAGAATATTATACAGATGTTAATTTCTCCCCAAATTAATCTATAGGTTCAATGCAATTCCTATCAGAATATCAGCAGGGTTTTCCAATTTGGCTTAGAAATTTATGAGCTGATTTTAAAATGTATATGGAAATGCAAAAGGCCAAAAAAAGTGAAAACCCTCTTAAAGATTTTATAAAAATCTTGGAAAGACTTAGGAAGAAGAACCAGGAAGATCTTAGAAAGAAAAACTATGTGGCTAATATGAGCTCCTCAATATCAAGACTTAAAAGCCAAAATAATTAAAGCAGTAATTAAGTCAATGAAATGGAAAATGGAATCCAGAAATAAAACCCACACAATACAACTACTTGGTTTATAACAAAGGTAATGTTGCATATCGGAGGAGAATATGATGGTCTTTTAATAAACATGGTGCTGGGTCAACTAGATAAACATTTGGAAAAATTATTGGATCTTAACTTCTACTTTATACCATTCACAAAGAAATCAAACATGCAGATTGTAAATTTAAAAGGAAACAGGATGGACACGGTGGCTCACGACTGTAATCCCAACACTTTGGTGGGCCAAAACAGGAGAATCACTTGAGCCCAGAAGTTTGAGACAAGCTGCAGCAACATAAGGAGACACCATCTCTACAAAATCAAATTTTTTTTTTTTTCCAAAATGGAGTCTTGCTCTGTCACTCAGGCTGGAGTGCAATGGCATGATCTCGGCTCACTGCAACCTCCACCTCCTCAGGCAATTCTCCTGCCTCAGCCTCCCATGTAGCTGGGATTACAGGCACACACCACCATGCCCAGCTAATTTTTGTATTTTTAGTATAGACAGGTTTCACCATGTTGGCCCGGCTGGCCTCAAACTCCTGACCTCATGATCCACCTGCCTTGGCCTCCCAAAGTGCTCGGATTACAGGCATGAGCCACTGTGCCCAGCCAAAAAAAAATTTTTTAATTAGCAGGGCATGGTGGTATATGTCTATATTTCCAGCTACTTGGGAGACTGAGGCAGGAAGATCACCTGACCTTGGCAAGTAGAGGCTGCAGTGTACTGTGATCACGCCACTGCATTCCAGCTTGGGTGACGGAGCAAGACCCTGTCTCAAAAAAAAATAAACAAATAAAAAATAAAAAAATTAAAAGAAACAAAACAATAAGATCCTAGAAGATAATGTTAAGATTTTTTTTTATTATTTTAGGATAAAAAGAGATTAACTAAACAGGAACCCAAAGGCACTAGCAATAAAGGAAGTAATTGCTAAATTAGACCTGATTAAAACTGGGAACTGCTGTACTCCAAAAAATACTGTTAAGAGAATCAAAAACAAGTCACAGAATAAGAGAACTTTTGCTACATATGTATACATACACACACACACACACACACACACACATATGTGTATGTAGCAAAAGTTACAATATAATATTATATATGTATAATTTTAAAAGGGCTTAAATCCAGAATATATAAAGATCTACTACAAGTCAATAAGAATAACGCAGATAATGCAATAGAAAAATGCAATAGCTTTATGTACATGATACGTAAAGTGGGAAACTTGAACAAGTACTTCACAAAAAAAGTATAGAAAAAATGGCCAATAAACATATTAAAATGTGCTCAATTTTATTAGTCATTAAGAAATTATATATTAAAGCCACGATGAAATACCATTTTACACCCATGAGAATGTCTAAATTTAAAAAGGTTGGCAATACTAAGCATTGTTTAGTACAGCAATTGGAACTCTCATATATGTTAAATAAAATATGGTTCAACAGATCCATACTGATATGGTTTGGGTCTGTGTCCTCACCTAAATCTCATGTTGAATTGTAATCCTCAGTGTTGAAGGAGGGCCTGGTGGGAGATGATTGAATCATGGGGGTCGGACTTCCCCCTTACTGTTCTTATGATAGTGAGTGAGTTCTCACTGGTTGTTTGAAAGTGTGTAGCACCTCCCCCTTCACTCTCTCTCTTCCTTCTTCTCCTTCCCTGTAGAGGTGCCTGCTTTCCTTTCACTTCCTCCATGATTGTAAGTTTCCTAAGGCCTCTCAGTCATGCTTCCTATACAGCCAGTGGAAATGTGAGTCAATTAAGCCTATTTTCGTCATTAATTACCCAGTCTCAGGTTATTTCTTTATAGCAATGCAAGAATGGACTGACACACACACAATGGAATACCACTCGACTTTTTAAAAAGAATGAAGCATTTATATGTGCTTGCACAGAAAAAATTCCAATTCATGTTTTTAAATGAATAGAGTAAAAGGATAAATAGTATATTTCTTATATGTATTAAAAAGGAAAGGATACAAATGTATAAATATTTACATATATTAATACACTATAATTATATAAACCTTTTAGGAAATATACACAGAAACTGTCAGTAGTGGCTACCTTTAAGGGATAGTACTGAAAATAGAAGAAGGCTTTTACCTTTTGTAGTGTTAAATTTACCGTGTGTATTTATTTATAGTGATTTATATATGTAAATCACACTCATATACACAATATACATATACAAAAACACATGTACACATTCATGCAGACGGTTCTTGCTTTAATGTCTAAACTTTGTAAAAAGGTTTCCATATACTTTTTAAATTTTGGCAGACACTTATAAAAAATAATGACTTGGGTTTTGGAATATTGATCTAATGTCCTACTTCTGGCAATGATTAGATAATAGTCCAATCCACCTCTAAGGACAGGCTTAATTCAGAGCAATAATACATTTCCTCCCATTTGGGAGCTTAGCCCTGCTTTAAGCAGGTGATCAAACTAACTGCAGAGTGGAGAGTCAAAGCAGGAGTCTAGTTCTGTGGGAATAAGGGTTCAGTTTATAAACTCTGGGCATCTATGGTTTGTTCAAGCAATTCACACACTATTCATCTTATAATTAATAGAGGTAAACCGGAGACTACAGATCATTGCCCACCACCTAGTACTTCTCTCGTTTTGCTTTTAGTCTTTTTCCTGATTCATCCCAGTCTTTCCTGGTTCCTGATTCTGAGTTCACTTTCTTATCTTTCTCTCTGCTTTCTCCTGACTTTTGCAACTTTAATAAAGTCTTGTTTTTTAGCTTGTCCTTCTTTAAGTACTTTGGTTCATTCTACTTTTAGCTGCATTTTGTAGGTAACCATCTCTACTCATTAGGATCCATTTACATTTTATAGTATTTACATTTGGCCATCACCAAGCCAAGCTGTACAGGCAAGAGAGTTTTGGTACTAATTATATCCAGGCCAAAATTTGCTTTATCTTAGACCACAGCAATCCCTAGTCTGCTCACAGGACAGCCCTGAGTAAAGGAATACAGGAACCTAGCATTTGCAGCCAGTTGAACAGACACAAGGAATAGTGACTATTGATTAATTCTACCAACCATACTTTCATCCATTATATTACTTGGGAAAAAAAAGAAAGAGAATTATCTTTTTTATTATTATTATTATACTTTAAGTTTTAGGGTACATGTGCACAACGTGCAGGTTTGTTACATATGTATACATGTGCCATGTTGGTGTGCTGCACCCATTAACTCGTCGTTTAGCATTAATTTATATATGACACAATAGTATTCCTTGAAGAGACTCATTTTAAAAGTACTGTTATGATGAATTCAAGTGAATGTGATTTGGTGACTGGATACAAGGCAATTATACAAAGATCACTATACTAGTTTGTTGTCATTGTGCTGGTTGTTGTTTTTCCTGCAGCAGTCAGAATTCTTTTTTTTTCCGAGACGGAGTCTTGCTCTGTCGCCCAGGCTGGAGTGCAGTGGCGTGATCTCGGCTCACTGCAAGCTCTACCTCCCGGGTTCACACCATTCTCCTGCCTCAGCCTCCCAAGTAGCTGGGACTACAGGCGCCTGCCACCGCGCCCAGCTAATTTTTTTGTATTTTTTTAGTAGAGACGGGGTTTCACCAAGTTAGCCAGGATGGTCTCAATCTCCTGACCTCGGGATCCGCCCACCTTGGCCTCCCAAAGTGCTGGGATTACAGGTGTGAGCCACCACGCCCAGCCCAGAATTCTTAATGTAAACAAATAAGTCAAGCTATTTTAAACAGAAATAAAATGTGTTAAAAGACAGGAAAACTCTGGAAGGACCAGAAAATCAGACCTGGTATTTCATCAGAGAAGGGCCCCCAAATTACTCCACAGAACTGAAACAGTGGAGTCACCATTGCCATCCTCCCTGGGCACAGACATTGCAGCTTGCCTCATTGACCCAATGGATGTAAAGCACTGTCTGTCACAATGAGAAAATCTGCCTCTGCAGGCTTCACGTATCTGCCACAAACCCTACCAGAATGCTTCGGTATTTCTTTCTATGTTATTAGCTTCTGAATCAAAGTCTGGAAAAGTATAACTAAGTGGCAAAGCCAGAGTCAAATGCCTAATTTTCAGCTACAAGGGAGGCTAGGAAATATCCATGGAGGAGATAGTCTTTACCTCTCACCATGATACATAAAGTGGGAAATTCCTCAAGCACAGGAAATATATCCAATGCTTCTGGATGGCCAAAGAGAATGAGAAATGTCTACTGTAGTTCACTCCTTTAACTGTCCAACACAGCACATGACCTTCTTCTATACTTAATCTTCCCAATCACACAACAGTAATGGTCTCATCTGAAATAATAAAACTACCCCCAGAAATATGTACTCATGTTCCCTAAAGCAATGCCTTATTGGGTATTTTACCCAGCTCCATATCTAGGCTCACTGTGTAATGCCCAATCCTTTTCTAGTTCTATATATTGATATTCTGTACACAATGCCCCACATAAAATAACATCAAAAAGAAGATGGATAAAAAATATAATTAAAATATATTATCATATGTATGACACACCAAGGAAAAAATGCCTATATTTAAACTTGCAAATAATAACATGCTTCTATCTAATGTAATGCAACTAGTACAAAGGTGTACTAACTAACACAAAGGTGTACAAACCCTCTCCCCAAAAAGGGAAGGCCCAGAGCCCATAAGTTCCTGTATCCATGTTTGAGTGATACTCATTCTTCATGTTAATTACAATTCTAGTATGCTTTCCTGGGTAGCCAAAAGTTACAAGGTTAACTCCAACTAACATACATAATATCAACCAGTAGAGAGAGAAGAAAGGGGAAATTAATTAATATATAAAAATATATGCATATCAAGGTGAGGAAGAATATGTATAGACATCACAATCCTCATTTCTTCAACTAGACATGAGGCCATATTTAGTGATTAAAATTTTCCACTACCCATCCCATAATCTTTTTGTCTTCACCAGCCTTTAGCTGACCATGGTTTTTTTTTTCCTAGATGTTTCCCAGGCCAGCTTAACTCTGTCCGGCAGTAATCAGCAAGTGTCAGAGAATGCTTGCTGGGAAAGAAGCCCGCAGTGTGAGGCTGAGCAGGTAGGATGTGGGAATCCAGTGCCACCTGCTGCTGACAACTGTCCTATCCATACTCAGGCCTTCTCAAAGCCCAGCCCCTTCTTTCCTACAAATACCTGGAGGGATCCCTAGAGTAGGATGAGGTCTGGCAACTGCATGTGATGGCTCTACAGATAAGAAAATGGGTCTGCCGGATTTGTTCCCAGAACCCAGAGCAATGCTTGACTCATAGTTAGAAGGCAAGGTGAGGTTTGGGTCAAAATCATAGATCTGGAGCTGTACAAATCTAGATATGAAGACAATCTCTGATTCTTTGTGAGCTCTGTGATCTTGGCCAAACTTCTTAATGTCTCTGAGCCTTGGCTCTTTGTAAAATAGGAATTAAAATGGCATCTCCTTTATAGAGTTGCTCTCATGATTAAGTGAGATAATGCACACAAGTGTTCAGCATGGTTCTGGGTCTGGGACACAGTGAATGTTCAATATATTCAGTTAATATTGTTTCTTTTTACTATTATGAGCACAAAGTAATTATTTTTTAATGAATAAGTTTACCTATATTCAGGGAACCTGGAGTCCCCAGCTCAGGTTGAGCGCCAGAGTCTGTCCCCAGCCTCTGATAATTTTGTTTTGCTCCTAAAAAGAGGTCTGGGGCTGAAGAGGGATCCTGCCCCATAGCCCTACCTATTGTCTTGGACCAAGGCTACCTCCTCTGAGCTTCTGCGTGTCCTGTTCTTGGCAGTGTTTGGGGTCTGCCTTAGAGGTAAGCATGCCTCTAGGAACAGAGAGCTACCACTGGCTCAATCATTAACCTGACCACCACCAATAGCTCAGGCTATTGGGCCCCACTTCCCACTCCCAGGTTTCCCTGCCCCAGCCCTGGCTGAGATGTAGATGTCAGACCAGATGCCACCTTCTGCCCCGTTCTCTATGGACAGATGGCCGCCCTCTCTAAAAGGGCTTTTCTTAGTGTTACCTAGCATACCTGAGGGCTAGGCTATGGTAGGGAAGGAAATAGACTGATTGACTGAAAATCCGCTTGCTACAGCCAATTTGTAAATGATTGAGCTACCAAATTATTGAAAATTGATTTTTGTTTTAGTTTCAGTGTCACTTTCTTACAGGTATTTAACCACAAAGCAGCCTGCCCAGGCTTGAAATCCTTGTCTATTTCACGGTTCAAAGGCAGAGCACTTCTTAAGTGGACATCATTTAACTGTGAACAGTTAGACTTTCTCGTAGATTCAGCTTCCTATCTTCTTTACTTTTGGAGACATTTGCCTTACTCTTTGCTTACCTTCTGAGTCTACTTCTACATGTATTTCTTGCTCTGACAGCAAACTGTCTGCGGCCACCCAGCCTACATATGGTTAAGGGTTGGACAGTGTTCAGGGAATTGGCCATTCAGTAATTTGATGATTCAGCAAATGGATTTTCAGCAAATTAACTCTTGGGGAGTTGGCTTTTGGCAAATAAGCCATTCAGTAAATTAGTTTTCATTGACTTGACCTAGATCCATAGGCAATCTAAGTTCCCAGGTAAAAGAATAGAATACTAACTGGTAGCAAAGAAAGAAAGAGTCACATATTTCTTGTACTCTAAAGGAATTAGGACTCACTAACTCCTAACCACTGTGTGTACCAGCAAGTGTGCACACACACACACACACACACGTGTGCGATCTTTTAACAAAACATGCAGTGGCCGCATTACAGCAGCCAGAGTCTTTCTGAAATGATCCAGAAGTCCAGGAAGCAAAGGAGAGGGAATGAGGCCACTTGTTGCATTGCCACCTAGAAACAAGAGACTGTGGAAGCCTGAATCCACTCAAGAGCTGGTTGCTGTGGGGAAAAAAAAAACCTGATTGAGAATCAAATTCAGTGGCATCACCCTAGATGGCTGGGTCTAATGTTTACGATGTTTGCAAGCTGATATATGCTGAGCACTTTCCATGCACAAGCACCACCCTAAGTGCTTGCATCTTACCTTACCTGAAGGTAAGTACTATTATTATCATCCCCACAACACAGATGAGAAAACCAAAGAACAGAGAAGTGAAGCAACTGACTCAATGTCACACAGCTAATGCATGGTGGGACCAGCACTTAAATCTGAAGCTCAAGACACATTTGTTCTCTGATGGTAGTCAAAGCTTGGTCTCAGCTCAGATGGAGGGCTGAGAACCATGGCATCAGGGTCACAGTCTAACAGTGTGGCACAAAGCCATAGCCCAGGAGTAGGAATAGGAGGCCAGAAGGGAAAACGAGGGGAGAGAACAGAAAATCAAAGTTACTGAGCTCCAGCTCTGTGCTAAAAATTGAGGTCACCACTTTCTTCCCATTAGTCCTAATACTTAGGCAAGATTCCTGTTGCAGAAAGGGGAAACCGAAGCCCAGAGTCAGGGCCCACAGCTAGAAAATGGTGGAGCCAGGTTTAGCATTCAAATAGGCTTGACTGTAAAGGCTACAGAAAGTGGGCTGAAATGTGGGGCTGCACAGACTGAGAAGAGAAGACAGGTGATGGGAAGATGAAGGTATTGGGCATTGAAGGTAAGCGAGGCCAGGCTCCCTGAGAAGGGTGACTTCTTTTCCCAGAAGCAACGAGGAGAAGTCAATCACTTGACCCTGGAAGTATTTCCCAAGGAGTAGCAGGATGTTCTAGAGAAAGCCCCAGCCATCTGGAGGATGCCAGGCACTTGCAGCCGTTTAGTAAACCCCCTCCCAGCTGTCAGACACAGCCCACTGAGGCATTTAATTTGGCAGAGCAAACATTGGTTATCAGTGAGAATGCTTATCAAATGTCAATTAGCATTCTGTCATAATTGATGTCTAACTAACATACCATCGTATGTTGTTGGGTGCCAATTAAATGCCTAAACAGTCCTTTCTATTTTATTGCATCAACAAGACAGTAATTGTACATTTCTCAGTTCAGTAACTTTGGAGTTAATTTTATTGTAAGCCTTTTGGAATACAGAAACCCAGAGAGAATTCTCAGGCAGATATTTAATCGATGTGCTGCTTTGATATTGCTAAAGCTTACCTTACGTTCACTACTTTCCTGAGAAATCAAATTATTCATTTCTAGAAAGGTCAAACTCCACGAGGTGTCAGTGCCACGCTCAGGCAAACATGTATGACAGGAATGAGCTGGACAGGCTGGGGAGGGAAGGGACAGAAGCGTGGCCTCAGCTGTCCTCCCTCTCTGCCAGCCCGAGTGTCTCTGGGAAAGGACTTGCTAAATGCCGGGGACTTACAGTTAGCAGAATATGGACTCCAAGGTACCCAGGGTGGGTATGTGTACATGGCCGAGTCTCAGGCCCTGCATGCAGAGGACATAATAGGTATGTACATTTCTCAGTTCCGTTTGGAGAGGGACCCTGGCACTCTGCCATCTGTACCCCATGGAAGAGGAACAATAACTCTGTGGGAATTGGAAGCAGAGCTCCCCAAAAGCTTAGCAGAGAGGAAATGGTTGAGGCGCATATCCTGAAGTCTAAGTGATAAGGCTTCAACCTTGGCCACAGAAAGGTGTACTACTTATTGTCTCTCAGCTCCAAACCCACCCTTCTATCTCAGCTCAGTGACGCTGAGGCTAGGATGCTGCAAACCACGTTTCTGCTTTGCCGGCTGCTCCCTGTTGGACTTTACCAGTAGGGGGCACTTCAGGGAGACTGGGGAGCTGGAGGATGGAGCAGAACTTGCTCCTTCCCATTGGCTTCTGCTCTTATGAGCATCACCCTAGCAATGCCTCTTCGCCCCAGCAAAGGCAGTTCCTTCCTGTAGCAGCAGCTGGATTCATTCTGCAGTTTTTTTCATCCCATCTACCCTCCCACCCATTGCAGAAACCCAAGCACCAGCCATCACTCCCTACTCAATCTGAGTTCCAGTTCCAGGGGCTTTGCCCAAGCCTTGAGTTTTAATAATTCCATTCTCTTCCCTTATTCCTCCAGCCCTAGGTGTGAGTGCTGCTTCCTGCAGTCACCACGTCTGTGATAGTTTAGAGTCTTTTTTATGTCCTTTCAGTTATGGAGTTCACAATTTTATGCCTAGTAAACAATTCTTTATATTAAAATACTCTCTGCTCAAATAAGTGCTGTGGTTCTGTCTCCCAGGGGGACCCTGACTGATATGGAAGGAAGGACTAGAACCAGAAGGAGGCCTTGCAGAGGGCTACAGGAAACACACTTGTACCAAAAGGAGGAGAACAAACTAGGGGTGAGGGATGGAGGGAAGCGGAGGTGTGCAGGTGAGGAAGCCCACCTGCATTGGGCACTGGGGGAGAGTTAGCCTGCAGGATCAGAACCCAGCTCTGCTTTGTGCTCTCTGTGAAACCTAGGGCAAGTTGTTCAGCCCCTCTCTGCCCACTTTCCTCATTTGTAGAATGGAGATGATACATAAATTTGCTACCTCATAAATTTGCTTTGTGTATTTGATGATGGTTTCCATGAAAGCATCTGACCGAGTGCCTGGCAAAAAAAAAATGCTCAGATGTTGCCTGTTGTCATGACCATCATGAGAGGCTGATGGGAAAAAGGAGGGTAGGAAAACGCACAGAAAGGGAAGTTGCTTGCTCACCTTGGACTCTCACTGGGAAGCATCATGGAGTCCCTTTATACACAGCTCCTCTGGAGAGCGGGGAGGTGATCCCACCAGCTGTAGCTGCTGAAGTTGCCAACAGGGACTTGTTTTATAAATGAGCCAAAGATGGCCTCTGTACATTAGCCCATGGATTGCTTATTTCTGCACTGCAGGCTGAGATCTGTTAGCTCAAAAGCCTGCCAGCACCCAGCTAAAATTTTTACACATCCAATTATTTTTAAAATAGCTCAAACAAGCAATTTTTTTATCCATTTAGAGACTGCTAGCTTTGCAAACTCCCCCCATCTCACCCAACAGCTGTCACCTCTTGATAAGATAGGGTCTTGCAATTATAAGGCGCCAAACTGCTAAGGCCCTTCAGAGCTCCGAGCTCAGAGACTCCCCGCTTTGAGGCTGGATAATCATTTTCTACCCTTTTGAAACACCATGTTTACTATGAACTAAATTATTGCATTACTTGGGTATATTTCAGCAATTTAATATTGTCCACTGATATATCCACTTCTATACCAGTACCATATTCTTTCAATTATTGTCCCTTTATAATAGGTTTTAATATCTGAAGCAAGGTTTAATATCTGGAAATTTTTCATATCAAGATTTCAGTGGCTATTCTTCTATGTTCTAGATAAATTTTTTAAATGATTAGATTAAATGTTTAAAAAAGATGATATTTATCTCATAATATTTTACTCGAATAAATGTTATTTCTATATAAACTCAAAGAGAATTGCCACCTTGATAATGTCAATTGTTCTGGTCCCTTCATCCATTTCTTAGATAAATCACTACTGAGGCCGGGCACGGTGGCTCACGCCTGTAATCCCAGCACTTCGGGAGGCCAAGGCAGGTGGATCACCTGAAGTCAGGAGTTCAAGACCAGCCTGGCCAACATGGTGAAACCTCATCTCTACTAAAAATGCAAAAATTAGCTGGGCAGGTTGGCGGGCACCTGTAGTCCCAGCTACTTGGGAGGCTGAGGCAGGAGAATCGCTTGAACTCAGGAGGCGGAGGGTGCAGTGAGCCGAGAGCATGCCATTACACTCCAGCCTGGGCAACAGAGCAAGACTCCGTCTCCAAAATAAATAAATAAATCACTATTGAGGCCTCCTAAGTGCCAGGTACATTTTAGGTGCTGGGACACTGGGCAACGTCAGCTATGATTCCTGTCCTCTCAAAGCTTTGTGTAAACTGTATTTATTTAAAGAATCATTCACAGGCAGGTAAGAGTTGAATTCTCGCCACAGCATGGCTGCAAGTGGTGCTTGGAAATTAAGGACGTGATGAGGGCTGGATTGGGCTCCACACTTCTCCCAGGCAGTGCTCGAAGGGGAGCTGTTAGCGTATGTTCCCTGCAGAGCACCCAGGGCTGCCTCGGCCAAGTGCATGTTCAAATGGAGACAGCCTGGGAGCCTGTTTAATGACTCAGAACGGGAGCAAGATTTGGAGAAACTGGAAATTAAATGTCTAACTGAGTCCTGAGGATTGCGGCTAATGGGCTCACCTTGGGAAAGGGATTGGGATCCCGGCATTTTGTAGAAGTGACCAGATTTCTTACTGCCTTCCAGATATCTCAGGGTGGCCTCTTGAAGAATTGTTGGCAACAAAGTCAGCAAGGCTTAGAGACTCTTCATGGAGGGTGGAGCCCAGAAAGGGTCCACTGGACTCAGCAGCCCCCTCCCCATCGGCCATCTCCCTGCCCAGTCTGGCTGTCACTGCTGTCTATCTGCTCAGACCTAGTGCCGAGTTCCCAGGCAGATCCATCTCCTAAACAGGCCTGTGCTCATGCAGGTCACCCCCAGGGGACAGTCAGAACAGCTTTGCAGGTTCCAGAGGGCTTGTCTTCTTCATTTCTCCCTTTTCCAGTAAAAATTTATCAATGGCTGGCCCCTTGTCTGGCACTGAGAAAGATGCAGGGATGTACTACTGATGGATAAGACAAGGTTGTGTATAACAAACAAAGGAGTTGGCTCCAGGGCACAGAGAGACTGACAACCCGTTAATTAGGAAAACAAGCAATTTGTGGAAGAGAAAACTTGAATGACCAACGAGCATATGAAAAAAGGCTTGGCCCCATCAGTCATAGGGCAAATAAAAATGAACCAAAATATGACTTCATTTTCTTATAGTCAGACTGAACTTGGAGAAAACTCAAGTAAAGTTTATTCATGTTTTGTTGTTGATTTTGAGACAGGGTTTCACTATGTTGCCCAGGCTGAAATGCAGTGGTGCAGTCATGGCTCACTGCAGTCTCAACCTCCTGGGCTCCAGAAATCCTCCCTGCTCTAATTCTTGAGTAGCTGGGAAGGCACTTGGGAAGGCACCTGGCCTTGACAATGTTTTTTAAAGCTGAGGATGCACACACCCTATGTAAAGCCAACAATTCCACTACTAGTGTACCTGCTGATAGATTCTTGCTTTGGCAACAGGAGATACAGGCAACAACATTCACTGCAGAAGGTTTACAATGTTGAAAAGTCAGAAACAAATGTACTCCCCAGGAGGGAAAAGGATAAGTAACCATGGTTTATTCTTACAATCAAAAGCACTCCACTGCGGTACAAATGAACAAAACATATTTATAAATTAACATGAATAATTCTGAAGAGTGTGAAATTGAATAGAGATTTAACTCAACTTCAGAAGCCTGGGAGTAGAGGGGAAGGGAATGGGAGTGTTGGGGCTTTAGTTGTATTCTTTTAATATTTTATTTCTTCAAAGAGAGAGACAAAGGTAAAACAAATGTGGCAAGCTGTTATCATCTATTAGATTTGGGTGGTGAACACATATTTAAATGTTTTGTTTTTTTTAATGTTTGAAAATGTTTCATAATAAAAAAAAAACTGAAAAGAATATTTTGGCTGGGCACAGTGGCTCATCCCTGTAATCCCAACACTTTGAGAGGCCAAGGTGGGAGGATTGCTTGAGTCCAGGAGTTTGAGACCGGCCTGGGAAACATAGCAAGACCCCACCTCTACAAAAATCCTTTTTTTTTGAGACAGAGTCTTGCTCTGTCACCCAGGCTGCAGTGCAGTGGCATGATCTTGGTTCACTGTAACCTCTGCCTCCTGGGTTCAAGCGATTACCTCTGCCTCCTGGGTTCAAGCGATTATCTGCTTTAGACTCCTGAGTAGCTGGGACTACAGGTGCCCGCCACCATGCCCGGCTAATTTTTTTGTATTTTTTAGTAGAGCCAGGGTTTCACCATGTTGGCCAGGCTGAACTCCTGACCTCAGGTGATCCGCTCGCCTTGGCCTCCCAAAGTGCTGAGATTACAGACATGAGCCACCACGCCCAGCCAAAAATATTTTTTTTAAAAGTAGCTGGGCGTGGTAGCATACCCCTATAGTCCTAGCTACTCAAGAGGCTGAGGCAGGAGGATCACTTGAGCCCAAGAGGTCAAGGCTGCAGTAAGCCATGATCGCGCCACTGCACTCCCGCCTGGATGACAGGTGAGATCCTGTCTCTAAAAAAAATAAAGAATACTTTAAAATACAGTCTTCCAGGAGCTCCTAGCCTCCTAGGGTCATGAGATAACAATGTGATAAAGAGTTTTACAGGGAGTCAGACCGTAGACAAATGCCTGGAAGAACTCGGGGAAAGCATCACAGAAGGGGTGAGACAATTTGGGTCCTGAGGGATCCATAGGAGTCTTTTGGTTGGAGAAGGAAAGTCTGGGCCCCTTGGGCAGATGCTCATGTAAAAGCACAAGGATGGAAAAGCACGCTGTTTGGGGGACCGGGATGGGTCGGAGAGGCAGCTGGGGTGGGAGGGTAGAGGCCTAACCAGGAAGGCTCTGGGCCACGCTAAAGACCTCTTCCTATGGGACAGGGAGAGGAGCAGTATGCGCAGTTTCTCTGTCCCTCGTTTCTCAGACAACAATGATTCAAGAAGGAAAAACAAACAAAAAAAAAAATGTGAGCCCAAAAGAAGATGAGTATGATTCACTGGACTTCTGGCAATGGCTTACGAAAGACCATTGCCTGCAGACCACGTGACTCAGGTAGACTCCATGGCCCAGGCCTGGCCAGTCAGAGTATTGCTTCTCAACTGATGCAGTTTTAGAGATGAACACATGGCCCAATCTAAGTCACAGGTAGGGAGTGACACCTTTACTGGGTTTCCTAGAAAGGGACTCTCCCTCTCCCCCTAGAGCCTAACAGATTGTGGCTGTCCTGCCAGGGGTAGGAGCCTGAGACCAGACATGACATGGAGGAGACAGGAGCGTAAAGAAGGATGGAAAGAAACAGCATCCGTACGGCTTCTGTCAAACCCAAATCAGCCACACCTGAACTGCTCCCACCTAAGCAAGTTTGGATCTGGTTCTCCATCATCTACTTCAGTTAATCTCATGACTTTATCCCTTGTCCAGCTTAGAGTCAGTTTCCCTATCTTCAACTTTGGGCCCCTTAAAGTATGATCGGCCTCCTCCCAGGCTGATGACCTGAGCTTTGTATCTATCTCAAAGACCCTTCTTGGATAACCCTGGGAGGCTGGCCCGTAGGCAGAGAGGGTCAAATGCCCGACAAGAGAAGGTGAGAGAGACGGCTTCAAAGATTGTGGGAGCAGGGCAAGGAGGGTTCAGAGAGGGGCACAAACACCCCCTTCTCCACAAAGCATACAAGTCACCCACCGTTTGTTCAGCCCACGTATTGAATGGGGCCTTCCACGGCGGCTGCATTGCAGCAGGCGTATTTAACATCACCCTTGTCAATCTGTGACAGCCGTTTCTGCATTCTCCTCTCATCGCCATTAACATAGAAATAGCTCCATAATGACACCAGGCCTTCCCGAGCACCGCTCTCTGCTTATCTCATTATCAATGAAACTATCTTGTTATGTGGGTAAACTGGAAACAGGAACGTTCTGTATCAGATGTCACGGGGCAATTCTCCCTCATTATTTCATCACGCCGAGAGAAACTGGAGCAGCTGCTGAAATCTGCTCCTGTTTTTGAGCTTTAGGAGCAACATTTTAGAAGAGAAGCAGCTCAGATGTCAGCTGCAGTGAGTCCTAGGGGGTCTGTGAGGGGCATATTTCCTGACAACTCCCTGGTATTACTTGTCTTTGCACAAAGCAATGCCCCAGAAAGACACAGGGCAGTAAAGGCTGGGGAGGAGTGGAGAGGGGGAGGGGTCCAGGCCTGGCCAGAAATCCCCCCCAGTCAACCACTGGGTTCAGCTTTGCAGCAAGGGAGGCAGAGGGGGCTGCAGTAGCCAAAGCCCAGCTGTAACACCCCGTGACCTGCGGAGGGCTACTAATGGGTAAAAGTAGAGGCGGAGGCTTGCCAATCTGTCTGTTCGCTCCTTTTCCAGAGTTCTAATCGGGAATCTTCATGGAATACGACCTGTCCATCACAACTCAGCCCACTGTTCGTATAATGGCTTTTCCTGGCTGGTGGCTAATTGCTTTAGAATACCTGTGCTGGGCCCGCAGGTCACCATCCACTGTGTTTTATGGCTCTTGCAAAGGAAACCACTTATCAGGTGTGTAAACTCGAGGCAAATCAGGATCCTTAGAACATGCTGTTGTACTTGAGCTACAGGGAAGGAAAGCTATGATGCTTGGAAATACCAGCGTAACTGGCGGTGGCGTCTTCCATGGCTTTGAATGAGACAAGACAGCTGCTCTAGCCCTACCCAACAGAGAAAAGGAAAGAAAATCACAATCTCTCTATGCGGTGTCAATTGTTCCATAAGTGGAGGCTACAAGATTTGGAGACAATTAATAAGAACACTGTTGTATCAAGTTGGGCCCCTCTATCAAGTCTTTGCGGAATTCCATCCCGGGGTGATGCTGGGTAGCAGCCTGGCCCCTCACCTTGTACTGGTGGTGCAGGGCATTTGCCTGAACTCTGACTGAAGATAGTGTCCTCCCCTGCCTACACACATACACCACACACACACACACACACACACACACACACACACACAAGCATATACACCATACACACCATACAAGCTCTTAGGAAGACAGCTCTGTGGCTTGCACAATTTTCAAAATATCATTGTCTCAATGATATCATTTGTATCATGGAATTGGGCTATGAGTCATTCAGGCCTGACTGAGAAAAGGACATTGGTCAGTCAGCTTTGCTGGACAACCTCCACAAGCTCTCAGTGGCATATGACAATAAGCACTAATTCCCATGCTTGTAAGTGTGGCCCACTGAAGACAACTGGATGCTTGTCAAGGCTGGGCTCAGCAGGTCGGCTCTGCTTCGGGCAGTGGGACTGCAGGGCTCGGCTTCCCACTGCAGGTTGGGCTCAGGCCTGCTCTATGTGTGCTTATTATGGGATCCAGGATGAAAGGGCAGCAGCTACCAGGAGGAAACGCTTCTCATTTAGGTTCAATCAGTGAAGTGCGGGGATGCAAAGCCAATCTCTCAAGCACATTGAAAGCCTCTGCTAACCCTATGACTGCTAATATTCCATTGGCCAAAGTCATCTGCCCAAACCCAAAGTCAAGGACCTGGAAGCATGCTCTGCACAGCCTGAGGCCATGGTGAGGGTGAGTGTGGGATCCTATTCCCCCTATGCCCATCCAGATGTGCAGCCTGCCTGGGGGTGCTGAGTGGTGTTTGGGGACCATGGCCTGTGGGAAGGAGGCCAAGCCCTTCTGCCTGAGCAGGGCAGCAGAGATTCCGCGCTCTGTCGGCCAATGCCCAACTAAAGACAGGAAATTCGAGGTGAGTGACACCCAGAGGTTCGGAGAGGAAATGACACCTGGAAAGCCTGGCCCTTAAGTCCAGCCTTTGCCCTGAGGGGTGGGAGCCCATAGGCCTTCCAGCTGGGTCCCCGCAGGAGAGGCCTGGAGAATGGAGGGGAGAGCACTTCGTTGTCATCTGGATCTGCCTGCAGCCCCGGTCACCTGGCTGAATCTGGGCAGGGCCAGGCCAGGCCCACCTTGGACAGGTGCCCTGCACCGCGTGGACAGGACCGAGGCTCGGGAATCCTTGCTTCCCACGGCAAATTTTCCCTCTGGAAAACGGGAGAGACAGAAACGTGTTGCACGGAAGCACCGGGAACGCGGCGCGCCCACGCTTCTGGCCCTGGCTGGGGGCGCCGTCGGGAGACCCATCCCTCATTCCGAGGGAGCCCCCCAGGACCCCCCCGCACCGCGCCCTCCCTCTCCCCTGCGCTTGAGAAGGACTTGGTGCCTCCAGGTCGCGGGAATCTTCATCACTTCTGCAGCACTGGAGGAGGGCGCCGTTTCCACCCCTCACCATAGGCTGTAGCCGCAGGCCAGGACGCTCAGCTGGCCCCGCTGGGGCGTCCTGGCAGACAAAGTCGTCAAGAGGATTTCCAAGCGCAGCGAAGTTGCCCCTCAGATGATCAGGCAGGGTCGGGGGACCCGGCCCTGGGATCCCGCGGCCCGTTAGCTAGCCTGACTCAGCCCCGGTGAGGCGGATCCGGAGCGGGAGCCGGGCGCACTCGTGTGGCCATGCCTGGGAACGCAGGTCCGGGAAATGGGCCGCCGGGAGCTCAGGACCAGCTGCCAAGACCCCAGGGAAAGAAACATCATCTGGAGGAAGGAGGCGAAGGGAGGGAGGCCCCGGGAGCCCCTTGACAGGCCTCATTCACGCTCTGCATGTTGGAAGGCCCTTGACAGAACTGAATCTTTTATGATGGCCAGAGATGCATCCCCTTTGAAAGGAGGGCTGCCAGGTAGCACAGCCCTGCATCCTGTTCCCCAAGTTTCCCTTTCCCCTGGGGACTCACTGAGCACCTAGTCACCCCACGGCTTTGCTCTCCCTTGGGAGCTCTAGCCTGAGTCCGGTGTGAGGCTCCTCCAAGGCTGCCCTGAAGATTTGGAGGCAGCCTAAGAGACATAGCCCAGGGTAACAGGAAACAAGACAGTAACAGACAACTAAGCCCTGTGGAATCCATTCATTCCACAGGAGGTGGGGCGTGACCACCATGAGCTAGCCACCCTGGAAGGCTCTGAAGCTGTGTCCTTTGCACGCTACAGGAGGCTTTTGAATTCGACCACCAAAATTCAGACTTACCAAAGGGCAAACCCCACAGTGAGTCCTCTGCTCAGCAGGGGGCTTCTGGGTTCCTTCCCTGCTTTAAGCCCAGAAAGAGACCTCACATACTTCTGGCTCCCCAGCCCTATGCACCTCTGACGTGAGAACTCACATTTAATGGGGAGTTACTGTGTGGGAGGCACACACTCCCTTCTGATCATTTGGGTGGGCACTGGTCCTACCCAGTTTCATTCAAGAATTGGAGTGTGACTGATGTGGTTTGGCCATGTCACCACCCAAATTTCATCCTGAATTCTCAGTTATTGTGGGAGAGACCTGGTGGGAGGTAACTGAATCATGGGGGCAGGTCTTTCCCGTGCTGTTCTTGTGATAGTGAATAAGTCTCGTGAGATCTGATGGTTTGAAAAACAGAGTCTCCCTGCACAAGCTCTCTTCTCTTGTCTGCCACCATGTGAGACCTGCCTTTCACCTCCTGCCATGATTGTGAGGCCTCCCCAGCCATGTGGAACTGTAAATCCATTAAATCTCTTTCTTTTGTAAATTGCCCAGTCTCAGGTATCTCTTTATCAGCAGCATGAAAACGGACTCATACAGTGACCTTAGATGTGCTAAGAGTAAACTGGAAATTTTGAAGAAGTTCATCCAGGCAGATTGCCTTCACATTTTGGCCAGCTGCCTGGGAGCTTGATGCCATCTTTTGGATTTAGCCCAAGATTCTCAAACTTGTGATCAGTTATACTCCAAGGAATCCATAAAGGAATTTTGCTTTATTTAGTCATTTCATGGAGCATGGCGCACTGGGATATGTTGACAGTCATTTGATGTGATTGTGAGTTTGTTATTGATATAATTAGTGCAGCCAGAGAAAAGCAGCTAAAACTTCTGGGAAATTGACTCGTAATATTGTAACACATAATATAGGGGAAAAAGCAGAACCACAATAATGATTGGGGACTTGTGGTTCCTGTGCGCTTGAAGATGTGTGTGCTTGGGATTTTGATAATTTACAAAGCTTTATGCCCTCATCTCTCTGCTTTCCAGCCTTTTTAAGATCTGAAAGGAAATTTGCAAATTGGCTTCTGAAAACTATAACTGATACATCAGCAAATCAGAGCTGGCCTTGGTGAGTGAAGTCCAAATGCTGGGGCCCAGACCTGGACCCCAGTGATGGAAGGAGCACTGTATACCTGGAGACCAAAGAATCCTTTTCAAAAGAGACACCCACTTCAGGTGCAGGGGTGGCTCATTCTACTTCTGAGAAACAAACTTGCCTTCCCCCTGCCCCTCCTTTCCCATTGTTGACAACACCCCCACCCCAATCCCTGGCCTGCTGACACAGAGAACGTGTCCCAACTGGCAGAGCAAAGTTGTTTGGAGCCACTGAACACTTTAGCCAAATTCTTCAACTCTAAGCTAGCCTGCATCTAGAAGACAAAGACAACTGTTCTCCCATAATAACACAAAAGGTTCTTAGGGTTTTGGGGCATTACCCGTGGTGACCAGAGTGCCTAGTCCACCTCTCTGGAGCCAGGAAGAGAGAGAAATACTCTCTCTAGAGTATTTCTTCTATCTCTAGACGTGAAAGAAATACAGTGCCAGCCACATACTCAATTTTAAATTTTTTAAAAGTCCCATTTTATAATGTGAAAAGAAATAAGTAAAATTAATAACTTATTTTTTATTAATCCAGCATGAAATAATTTATTTCAAGATGTAATGAGTATAACAATTATTAATGAGATATTTTTCCTTTTTTATATGAAATCTGCTGTGGATTTTATATTTCCAGGGCATCTCAGTTCAGACCAGCTGCAATTTAAGTGCTCAGGAGCCACATGTAACCTGTGACTGCCTTATTGGACAGCGCAGGTCTAGAGTACATCTCTGGAGCTCATGGAACAACAGAGCACTGTCACTGCCACCACCCAAAGTCCAAACCAAGGGGCCAGGCCCTCAGCGCTGCCTTCGAAACATAACTGAACCAAAACTACCACAAATGTGGGTGGTGCCTGGGCCCGAAAGACCTAGTGGATAGCATTTGCTGAAAGCCTTCATGGGTCATTCTCATCCCAGGAATGACTGCTTGGGGAAAGGCTGAGCCAGGGCCCCTATATAAACAAGCATACTTGTTCCATCGGGACCCTTGGTTGGCTTTTCCAGGTAAATGAATGTCCACAGGAGGGCACCTACAACATCTTTAGTGCCATTGTTGTTGAATTAAAAATGAAGTCCAAGGCTGGTCTTGTGATGGATTAATCGACTTTTTATTGTGCAATAAGCAATGGAACACACATTTCCTTCTTAGCCTTGGCTGCCAGGAAACTCAGAGCCAAGTAGGTTCTCAGTTAAAAACTATTGCCTCAGCTATTCCTCCATTATGATATGGTTGTTTTCCTTTCACTTTTATTTTAATACTTTGAGGATTTGACAGGGTTTCCATCTTCTGAAACTTCAAGCAACTGTAAATCATTTTTAGAAATGGGCGGGGTACGTATAAGGAAGGTTTCAGATTTTACCACTAGATGGCAGCATTGTACAATAGACTACCGCCTTCAGCCTCCCGCCGGCCCTCCCCACTATCGCTCCGGCCTATTCCACTCCTTTAATAGCTCTATGACTTGGGCCATTGACTTTTAACACTCTGAGCCTCTCCTCTGTTTTATCATGTGAAAAAGGAAATGCTATTGTGAAAACGAACTGAGATGAAATATAGCTGGAGATGTAGTAGTAGCCTTGTGATTAAGTGCATGGATTCTGATGCAGATGACCTGGTTTCAAATTCTATTTCGCCATTTAATAGCTGTAAGTGCAGGCAAGGTATCTAACTTCAAGCCTTAGTTTCTCCTCTGTAAAATAGTGAGGCTAGTGCCTGCTTCTTAGGAATGTTGCAAGAATTTGAGGGCAGGATATAAAGCGCTTAGAACAATGCCTGGCCACACAGAACATCAAGGGTTAGAAGCTACCATCATTATCATCATCAACACATAAAGCACCCAGCACAGCACATGGAGTCATGCTTCTAGACCCCAGTGTGACACTCTTGTGCCTGTTGGTCTACGAGATGTTGGAAATGAGGCCTCCGCATGGGCTCTTCTTTG